>NC_000011.10:98384545-98687576 GCF_000001405.40 Homo sapiens
TGCCTGCCTTGGCCTCCCAAAGTGCTGGGATTACAGGTGTGAGCCACTGTGCCCAGCCAACATGACTGTGTAACCAAGTGAGATAACATGTTAAAAGAAAAATAAAATGACAAATCAATATTCCTCAAAAACACACTCTAAAATTTGTACCAGAATTGCAGCAAATTGAATCTAACAATATAACAAAATAATAATTAATCATAAGCAAGTGTTCATTGCAGGTGCAAGATTGATTTAATGTTAGAATGTCAGTCAAAGTAAATCATGTCACCACATTTAAAACATACATATGGCCATTTAAATTGATGCAGAATATCATTTAATAATATTCAATTCAGCATTTATTTTGAATTTAATAAACTAAAGAAACTAGAAATGTAAGTCAACTGCCTCAATCTGATAAACATCATTTACTAAAAAACCTAGAGCTAGTATCACATTTAATGGGCTGGACATGGTGGATCACGCCTGTAATCCCAACATTTTGGGAGGCTGAGGCAGGCGGATCATGAGGTCAGGAGATCGAGATCGAGACCATCCTGGCCAATATGGTGAAACCCTATCTCTACTAAAAATACAAAAATTAGCTGGGTGTGGTGGCACATGCCTGTAATCCCAGCTACTCAGGAGGCTGAGGCAGGAGAATCACTCGAACCTGGGAGGTGGAGATTGCAGTGAGCTGAGATCGTACCACTGCACTCCTACCTGGCAACAGAGCAAGACTCCATATCAAAAATAAAATAAAATAAAGTAAAATAATTAAATAAATAAAACATACAAAAATTAGCGAGGCATGGTGGCGGACGCCTGTAGTCCCAGCTACTCAGGAGGCTGGGGCAGGAGAATCGCTTGAACCCGGGAGGCAGAGGTTGCAGTGAGCCGAGATCGCGCTACTGCATTCCAGCCTGGGTGACAGAGCAAGACTTTGTATAAAAATATCTGTATCTATATAGATATATACACATAGATATCGATATATATCTATATATCGATATCTATATATCGATCTATATGTCTATACACATGTCGATATATCGATATATACACATGTAAATCGATATATACATATATATCATAGATACATACATATCACATATATATACATATATACACATATATACATATATATCTATATATGTATATATATGTAAATGTGAGATGTGTATCTTACATTTAATGGTTAAAAAAAAACTGGACTCTTTTCTGCTAAGGTCAGGATCGAGGAAAGGATACTCACTTCTATTCAATCTTTCACTGGAGGGTCTAACAATATAGTAAGTAATATAAATGTATATACATGTATATTTATCACTAACAACAACAAATGTGTTTTGAATATATTAGCTAAAATATTATATAATGATATAATAATTTTATCTGTAACACATTTTTAAATGTTTGTAATATGACATACATATGTTATAATATGTCATAAAAAGTATGTGTCTAAATACTAGTTGTTTCCAAACATTGTTCTGTTTTACTCCCATATTTTTCTTCTAGTCTGAAGTAGTATAATTAGTAAAGCTATTAACCTTGATATCCATTATTATGCACTTAAAAACTCTTCGAAATTGTGCGTGTGATCCATCAACCATGAGCCATTTAAATACAGATGTAAATTTCCTCATCTTTGATTGGCTTATGGATACTGCCAAATATCTGCTTCAATTTCGAAGTCTAAATAAAAATGATAAAATTCGAAAAATACATGTAGAAATTGAACTCTATTAGGAAAGGGAGAACAGAGAAAAACACATTAAATAAATTGATAACATTTATTTTCTTTTTTCCCTTTTATACTTATATGTTTAAAGATACACTTACCATCGTATAAAATTTCAGGGCTAAGAATAAAAACCTTGTTTTGGGTTTCTTTGGAAACCAGGTCAGAAATGTCATAGGTAAGTAACCAAATGCTGCCAGTACTGAAAGGAAGCAATCCCACTTGCAGATTTCAGCTGCTGAGTACCTGCTAGAAGAGACAGGCTCCAGGTTCTAGGCCTATTATATTACTGCTTCAAACTACAGAGGAAAAGCAATTTGGACACAGGATGGGGAACAACACATACTGGGGTCGGGGCGAGGGAGAGCATTAGGATAAATAGTTGATGAATGTGGGGCTTAATCCCTAGGTGATGGGTTGACAGGTGCAGCAAACCACCATGGCACGTGTTTACCTATATAACAAACCTGCACGTCTTGCACATGTATCTCAGAACTTAAAATTAAATTAAAAGCAAAACAACCAACAAAAAAAGGAATTAAAATTATATATTTAATCTTTGGAAAATGTGTGAGCATTCTTAATTGCAAAAGGAAGTGCTGCTTCCTCCTTGGTTATTGCAACTTTTTTTTTTTTTTTGAGACGGAGTCTTGCTGTGTTGCCAGCCTGGAGTGCAGTGGCACAATCTCTGCTCATTGCAACCTCTGCCTCCCATGTTCAAGCAATTCTCCTGACCCAGCCTCCTGAGTAGCTGGGACTACAGGCGCGCGCCACCATGCCCAGCTAATTTTTTGTATTTTTAGTAGAGACAGGATTTCACCATGTTGGCCAGGCTGATCCCAAACTCCTGACCTCGTGATCTGCCTGCTTCAGCCTCCCAAAGTTTTGGAATTATAGGCATGAGCCACCGGGCCCAGCTGGTTATTGCAACTTTTTAGCTACTAAAGAAATAGCAGACTTGGAAGAGTCCACAGTCGCCATGGTATCAGTTACTTCAATTTGTTACTTTAATCACATTTGGAAAGGCCATTTTTTATTTTCATCATTTTATGATTCACATGAAATAGTTTTAAACTAGGCATATAATAGTTATTAATAACAAGCTAAGCTTGATTATGTTGGGTCCACTTGGTATCTTTACCTTTGTCCTTATTTTGTAATAATAGAATAGTTATTTTATATACATTTTAGTTTTACTTTAAGCAAACATAATGTAAATATTTGCTATCAAAAGTATATACTGCTTTTCAGACAGGTATATACTGCTTCTTAATTCTGTTTTGATTTTATATTTTGGTGTATTTAAAAGCCGTTTTTGTTTGATTTTATATTTTGTTAATTTTGTTTGATTAAATTTGTTTGATTAAAATCAAACACAAAATTTGTTTGATTTTATATTTTGCTGTATTTAAAAGCCATTTTAAAAATATCTACAATATCACGTGAAATGAACACTAATCTATGGCTTTAAAATAAAAACACAGTGATATAAACTATTAACAGGATGTGAAGTAAACTCTATTAACTACTGTACTATGAAATCAAGAAAGTTACGTGCTCTTTACGGTGAATGAGATGAATAAGGCACTGTCTTAAGGTGGATGTCATCACCCTTTGGAAATTAATGTTTGCTTTAAATTTAATTTTTCACCATAATAATCTGGAATTTTATAACTACTAGTTGTGAAACAATGATTAATCAGCATATGCTTTAATGTATATTTTAAGTACATTATCTCATATAATCCCTACTGCAGCCAACCTTGGTAGGTAGATAGTAGGTAGATACTATATCAACATTTTACAGATAATGCAAATGAGGCTTAGCATAAATGAGGTAGATTAATATATAACAAACTGAAAGCTGGAAGACATAACACTGTGATTTACCATTCTGATTCACAGTAGAGGCAGTACATTTTTGTCCCTTTGTTTTCTTTGATCTCTTCTCCAGAGTAATCTTTAGCTCCTTCTTCCTCCTTTCCCTTTGCTCCCACATTCCCATATTAAGTTTGAAATCTTAGTTCATCTTCTGTAATATTTTTTCACTGTGGTGGTTTTCCTAGTCTTCTCTACTACTAAACCAGCCCCATTTTATTTTCTTCTGCTATTGAAGTACTTTCTAAATAATTTCTGGTCTTTCATATTTTTCCAATTTATCCAACCCATGGTCTACATATATAAAAACCAGTGTTGTCATTTTTCTACACACCAATATAAACACAAACATACACATTAAAATATGTACTCTGTTGTAATAAGAGACAAAATAGGGGAGAGAGAGGAGTCAGGAGAGAAGATTGTGGAGAATAAATGGTATTGTAAAACTTTAGCATTGAATATTTTTATTGCAAAAAAGGAAGCTTGTTTCTTACTCTGATACACTGCAGGTGTGTATAAATTATTGACATATGCTACTACTGAAAATGGCTGCTCCTTGTCCTTTCCTATTCCCAAAGTCAAAAATACCTTCCCCCTTTTAGTATTCTTTTCTTCTCTTATTTGTGTGTCTATCACAGTGGAGTTATATTGAATTTCATTTCTAGGTAGTCCATTAGCATGAGCATACAAACAAAGGAATAAAATCAAGGAGGGTGATGACAGAAGAATTCTGTTTGACTCAGGAATAAAATCTCACAGGCTCATTATATTTTCAAAAGGAAGGAGGCACTTTATGTAGGATTGACAATGATTAAGTATCTGGACAAGTAAAGGGAAACATTGATAGGGTTATGATAAAAAGGAAATTGTTAACAGTCAACTTCCTTCTTTGATGGCAATCAAAGGAAGAATTATTATGTATTCTATTTAGAATTTTAGCATTTATTATGTACATAGAATTTCAATCTCTCATCTGCCTTAACACTAACAATTCTTTCTTCTAGTGAAATTGAAATATACCACAGCTACCAAAGAAAGGAAATTAAGCGATTAAGAAAGGAAATGTAACTATTCATTTTTCAATTACTGGCTCAAGAATGTGAACAGGTCACTGCAGCCTCTGCCTCCTGAGATCAAGCGATTCTCCTGTCTCAGCCTCCCTAGTAGCTGGGATTACAGGCATGCACCACCATACCCGGCTAATTTTTGTATTTTTAGAGATGGGGGTAGAGATGGGGGTTTCACCACGTTGGCCAGGCTGGTCTCGAACTCCTGACCTCAGGTGATCCACCTGCCTTGGCCTCCCAAAGTGCTGGGATTACAGGCATGAGCACCTGCGCCCGGCCTACTGGATGAATTTTTAACAATTGCATCTCTATAGCATGCAAGGGACATTTACTACTAAACCTGACCAGTGACTGAGTACTCATTAGCATCTTGCTGGTGGTTTATTCTGCTTTATTTTAGGATCATTTTCCTAGGAATGCATCCAATACCAACAGACATAAGTCACTTTCCCCAGGAAATAAAGATTTGCTTACAGAGATTTTGTTGATGAGTGCTACTGAGAACACTATTTGTAAGAGAGTGAATCAATCAGGATTGGGTAGAGAGAAGTTGAATTATGATTCACTTGTAACTGAGGCATCAGTCAGTTGGACTTCGGAGATGAGGTGGGTTTTCAGGGATACCGTGAATATATGTGAGAGGTGTGGGCCTCTGTACACCTTCGTCACACAATCACTGAAGATGGGATTCCCTTATGGTAAGGGCAAGATGTTACGTGAAGCAGCTCCCTTCAGCTTGACACTACTGCTGGAGAAGAAGTTGACTATGAGAATTCAGCAGGCAATACTCCAAGCAGCTGCAGTAATTAGGTCCTTGAATAGTATCTGGGAAGTACTCAACAGCATTCACTAGAAGTAATTAGTCCTGATGCCCTTCAAGCATATGAATGGCTTTGAATGTTAGGGGAGAGGACACATTAACAAAAATGACTTGGAATTTCAGAATCTGTCTGCAGTCTTACCAACAGAAAAGCAGAAGTCAGGAATAGTTGAGGAATAGTTACAAGAAACACTTTTCTATCAAGAAAATGCCCTAGGGAGATAAATTGAGAATCTCTTAATTGCTCTTAATCCAGGAAATCACGAGAAATATTCTACTAAAATTAAATATAAACTTGATGCTGTTTCTCTTGTTTTAAATGAAAAACAAACCATAATTCTACATAAAATTTAAATTGCCCATGGAAATAAGGCCCATCAGCTTCTCTGAGGCAACAATCTTTTCTTGAAAATTAGATCCAAAAAAATTTTTTAGAGATATGTAGAGGCGTAAAGTATACAGAAATATATCATTCAATCCATTTAAACTTCATCTGTTTTTCCAAAGTAGGTTAGAATATATTTGTCAGCCAGCCAATGATGAAGAAAATATGTCCTACAGCTACAATAAGGATATGTTTTGACTAGACCATCTTGTTTTTTTTGAGATGCGAGACAGTATGCTTTTCTTATACACCATCTTTTTAAATGATTGGTGAGTAGCTAAGACTGTGAATTCTGGCTGACTGGGACCAGTGGTATGCAATTTTAGCATGTGTATTATATATTTTCTGTGTGTAAGACTAATTCTAAATTTGATGCACCAAAATACCTGCTTCCAATTTTGCCTTTAATTTATTAGAATGTGTAAGAGAGTGGCTGTCCCAAACACACATCTCTTACTAGAGGGACAGTTATTTATTACTTGGCTAAAGCACTATATCAATTGTGTTTCATTTTAGAATCCTTTCATCATTCAGATAGATTTGAAAGTTATTCTTGATTGGTTATGTTAGCATGTTTAGAATGCTATGTTATGTAGGTTATTATCTACAGTACTTCATTAGTTATTTCTTTATTGGGGTTAAAGTTGGCCTGAATTTATTATATTTGATGTTTCACAGTGCTATGCATTGGATACAAGTTTGTGATACATATTTATTAGTTGCATGTTAATTTATTTTGAGGATTTATTTTGTTTATGGTGGTAGTTCTCTATGAACTGTTTGCCCTATTGAATTTTGATTAATTTGTACTTATGATGACAGGTCAAATTAAACAAAATAAAAAGCCACACTAATAATATATGATATACATTTGTGAGAGACTAGTAAGTTATCTGCCTCAAACTACATTATTCATAGATGAAAATTAAAGTTAATTAAAATATTGATCTCAAAATAAGAACTGCAACCTTTTATTTGTGAATCTTATAAAGAGGAATATTCCTCAAGGTCATGTTTCTTTTTTCCTTTCTTTAAACAACAAATCAAATCATTTCAGAGGATAATAGCTTGCTTTAAATAATAAAAAAGCAATGGCAGAGCCAGATTTGCCATGAAACTAGTGAGGCTTAAACTTCAAGGCAGCTAACTTAAATGAATGCCATCTGAGTCTCTGGAAGGGGTGCTAGCAAAGTGTTTTAAAATATGTATTTTAATGACTTTTCCAAATGTAAGATATTTCAACTTCTATTTTCATTCTAACTTCCTCTTTATCACAGTTTTCTCGATGTTAGGTAATATTGACTACCAGAAGGATTTTGAGGATCTGGCTAAGGAGAAGAAGGTTGAAAGAAATATTTAATTAAGACTTTACATGCTACTCAGTCACTGCTGTATATAATTAAGATATTGTTAGTAATCTCCATATATTGTAATGGCTTCTGGGAGTAATTCTAATATGCTTTGTGCTTATTCATAAAGATTTGGTAGCAGAAATGTTATCAACATACCTTAGAATATTCCTGTTCTAGGTGACAATCAGGAATGGCAGCTTTTTATGCCTAGTGGTACGTGGATCAGTGCAGTATTTCTATGTATGAAATTTGTTGCTTCCAGCCTCCATATTATCACCAGAAACTTCACTTTCTTCTTTGTGGTAGGAGAATCACAATGTAGCAATTATTCTTACCCTCTATAAGGGATATTTCAGCAAGCTCCTGACGATTGGTCCGGGAGCTTGCTGAAATATCCTGAAGTGAGAGGTTAACGAAAATAATTATCTCCCTATCTATGAAGATTTACCTCCCTATCTGTGAAGGCTATGGTGTTTTATTCATCCTGTCCAATCATCTCTGTCATCAATGTAATAGATCAATAAGATATTCTGCAGACTTCAGATAGTCTAGGCCTCTTCATATTATATTGTAACAGAGAGTAGAAGAGTTCATCTAGCCTTGAGCAAATTTATGAATGAATATTTTTATTTGTTCCTGAATACCAGTTAGGTTTTCTTTTCTTTTTTTTTTTTTTTTTTTTTTTTTTTTTGCACTAGAGGAAAATACTTTCTCAGATCTATTCTAGTAATAACACTACATCTGGCAAAACAACCACAATAGGGACTAAGTGGTTAAAGTTGGGTTAGTTTATGGCCATTCTCAGAAATTAAATGGAGATGAAAGCCTCATGGACAAAGACTTCATGTCTAAAACACCAAAAGCATAGCAACAAAAGCCAAAATTTACAAATGGGATCTAATCAAACTAAAGAGCTCCTACACAGCAAAAGAATCTATCATCAGAATGAACAGGCAACCCACAGAATGGGAGAAAATTTTTGCAATCTATCCATCTGACAAAGGGCTAATATCCAGAATCTACAAAGAACTTAAACAAATTTACAAGAAAAAAACAAACAACCCCTTCAAAAAGTGGGTGAAAGATATGAACAGACACTTCTCAAAAGAAGACATTTATGTGGTCAACAAACATGAAAAAAAAGCTCATCATCACTGGTTATTAAAGAAATGCAAATCAAAACCACAATGTGATAGATACCATCTCACGCCAGTTAGAATGGGGATCATTAAAAAGTCAGGAAACAACAGATGCTGGAGAGGATTTGGAGAAATAGGAACGCTTTTACACTGCTGGTGGGAGTGTGAATTAGTTCAACCATTGTGGAAGCCAGTGTGGTGACTCCTCAAGGATCTAGAACCAGAAATACTATTTGACCCAGCAATCTCATTACTGAGTATATACACAAAGGATTATAAATCATTCTACTATGAAGACACATGCACACATATGTTTATTGCAGCACTGTTTACAATAGCAAAGACTTGGAACCAACCCAAATGCCCATCAATGATAGACTGGATAAAGAAAATGTGGCACATATACACCATGAAATATTATGGGGCCATAAAAAAGAATGAATTATTGTCCTTTGCAGGGACATAGATAAAGCTGGAAGCCATCATTCTCAGCAAACTAACACATGAACAGAAAGCCAAACATCTCATGTTCTCACTCATATGTGGGAGTTGAACAATGAGAACACATGGACACAGGGAGAGGAACATCACATACCCGGGCCTGTAAGGGGTTGAGGGGCAAGGGGAGGGAGAGCATTAGGACAAATACCTAATGCACACAGGGCTTAAAACCTAGATGATGAGTTGATAGGTGCAGCAAACCACCATGGCATATGTATACCTATGTAACAAACCTGCACATTCTGCACATGTATCCCAGAACTTACAGTAAAAAAAAAAAAAGCCTCAGTCCTGCATTTTTTATGTACTAAATGGTGATGTTGATCTCCACAACTTCAAGAAATCAGTATAATTAAAATATATATATATATATATTTTCTTAGCTAAGTGTACAACAGTTTCAGAGGCTTCCACTTGGCCTTCTCCAGTATGACAGAGCTTACTCCAGAAGCCATAGACCATGTAGGGTTCCTCTTACTACCAAGTATGTTAATCCAAGTTGTACACTCAATGAGACAATAATCATTGAGTATCTCTGCAGACTCACAGGACTCACTACAAATTGGATTTTAGCCAGAATTATATGTATTACCCACTCATTATAAGAAATCATATTTTACACCTTGGTATATCATTTTCAACTCAGACTCTATGTCTCAGAGTTTTCCAAATGTCTGAGTATTCAAATTTTCAAGTGTACATTCACCCTTATGAATGACTCTAGATACTTTTGGGAAAATTACCAGGGATATAATTACAATATATGCTGGTGATGATGTGGCAGGGTCCTTCCTCCTCTAGACTTGACCATTTCATTAGCCAAAGGATCAGAGTTAGAAAAGTGGCTCAGGTCCAGGAACTGAATAAAGAAAATGACTTTTTATTGTAACAACTGCCCCCAACTTTCTGCTTTTCTGCCTTCCTTTGATTGTACGTTGTTATAAATAAAGTTTCAGTGCCAAAGAAGAATAGAACTCAAATATAAAATTTTCCTTTTAATTCTCAGCAAAGCCAGTTACTTCTATAGAAGGATGCGCCCTTACAGTTGGAGCCATGGTGAGAGCACACTTGGACAAGGGAGGGGAAGGGGTTCTTATCTCTGACACATGTGGCCCCTGCTGCTGTCGTTCTCCTATTGGCTAGGGTTAGACCACCAGGCTAAACTCATTCCAATTGGCTAATTTAAAGAGAGTGACGGGGTGAGTGGTTTGGTGGCAAAAATGGTTATGACAGAACAGGTAATCGGAATGAGTCAGGGTGGAGTAGGTAATCGGAATGAGTCAGGGTGGAGTAGGTAAATGGAATGAGTCAGGGTAGAGCAGGTGATTGAAATGAGTCAGGGTAGACCAGGTAATCAAAAAAGGTTGCTTTATGATGAAGTTAAATTTAAAAGTAGAAGGCAAAGAATTGAACATACTGACATATTGATTCTTTGAAAAGAAATTTAGGACTCATATCTAACAACCCCTCCTCTTGTATTTCCTTACAGCTTTCTTTTCAAACTTTTTTTGAAACATGTTTTGGCTTAGTTGTTTTGCTTGATTTCCAAAAGAAGAAGCTTCTCTGGATAAGGTGGAGAGTAGTTAAGGGAGGTTTTAGCAAGTGCCGTTTTTATGAGCCTCTGCACCAACCCACAGATGCATGGTATGACACAGCACCCAAAAAGAGTAAGTACACCCATTACAGTTGTGACGGAAGTAAGACTTGAGGCTATTATTCCTTTCCATTTACCAAACCACTTTTCTAGCCATCCTGTAAAGGAGTCATTTACCCGTGAGTTGTTGGCTAACTCATTGGACAGAGCAGTCAGACCTTGTAATGCCTTTGTTATAATTCCATCAGGGGCAGTGTTGTACAACACTGAGTTTAATCATGATGTAAACTCTTCCTCTTTCTGCTAATATCATGTCTAAGGCTGTTCTATTTTCTCAATCCATCTGGCTAGTAGCCCTTTATTGCTCAGCTATTCCTTTAACAGCATCTCTAGTGTAGTTAATAAATCACTGTTGGTTGTAGTACATGTAGTTTATCCGATCTACATTTTTATTAATTGTAACCTACCAAAATATTGACTCAAATCCTGCAGCTATTTGATTTCTGGCTTTAAAATGATCTGGTATTCCCCGTGGGACTCTAATTGTGTCTGAATAAACATGAGAGTCGAAAGACCCATAAGGGGCTTCTCTCGCTTTACGATGTCTTATTTTTCCTTCCTCTGGTTGATGAAATGCCAGGGTGAAAGGGATAGCCAATTGGGCTAAAGCACAAGTGCCACTCCAGTTATTTGGCAGAGTGTCCAGTAAAGGTCCACCACAATACCACCAAACATCCACTCAGGGATGAACAAGGGCTGACTGAATGATCAAGTTTCTAAATAACTTTTCTTTACAAATATATCTACATCTATATCAATATCTGGCCATTATGGTGCTCCGAGGTGTTTTATAAGAACCATGATTTCTTAATAAAAATCGTTAATATATATGTGCTATGTGTGCCGTGTGTGTGTGTGTGTATATGGTGCATACACATGTGTAAACATACTATAATATTTCTTTTTTTCAGAATATAGATATGGGCAAAGGAATGGTGGGCAATACTTTTAACAAATTATGTAACTACCTCTGAAAGTAATTTAGACAGGTAAACCACAGTATGTATAACCAACACTACACATTAATAATACAATAAGATTGAATAAAGCAAATGGTAAAAATCATCATGTATTTTATTGAATACATTTGATATTTTTGTTCTACTACGTAAATACTGCATACAATGATTTATCGAGAGAAGTTTAAGTTTGAAACACAAATGTCCAAGGTATATTTCAGTCAGGCTTATAAGCTCTTGAAAATTCTTAAGCTCACTGCATCCCTTCAGGTCTCCAAGGAGCGCTAAGTTTCCTCCCTGTTGTGAGAGACATGAAGTGAACTTAGTGTTGGGAGATGGAAGCTGGATGGCCCTCGGGGGCTGACACACAGGGTGCCGGACTTCGGGATATAGCAGAGAGAGAGCTTGGCACGACTTATTACTCCGGGTTGTAGAATCCTGGAAAAGGGCTACCATGCAGCCCACGCCTGGTCGACTGGACCACCTTAGTGGAAAGGGGACAATCTGGGCCTCTGGCCTGCCATGTGCACAAGCATAACAATTGCTTTTGTTTAACGTGCGGATGGAATATTTGATCATTCCAACCAGGCATTTGCATCTTGGTATGCTGTCTTAGTTGCCAAAATTTGTTTTAAGTTTTTAACTTCTATGATCCTGTAGTAAAATGAATGTATGATTTTGGGAAATTACAAAAACCGGTTGGGGCAGTCCATCCTTGCTCTTTAGTGGTCCACAGAACATTGGACCAACTACAACATAAAAGCTCTACATCATGGGGCAAGAATTCTGGTTGACACTGGGGTCTGTATTGATATCTCCCTGGATCAAATGGTCCCAATTTACTAAGGCCCAGTTTGAGGAGAGTCAGGAGGGACAGAGGTACTTTTCTGAAGTAGAGAGCTGTCTTTGACTTGGCAAATCCCCACAGGGTATAACAAGGCAAGCATCAAATACAATAGTTTTAGGTGAAATTGACTTGGTTATGTTATAACTAGATGATCAGCAATAGAGCGAGGAAAGAAGAAAGAGTAATAGAACAGATGAAAGAGACTTAAATTTTTCTTAGCTTTTGTTTGGTATGGTTTTCCCCTGGGACTGTGGCCCACGGCTCTGGAGGGGGCAGCGCTTTCTTGACTTGGGTGTGATGAGTCCATCCCCTTTCTGCTGTATAAACAGCGGTCTCGGTGGTTAGCAGCACAAGGTAGGATCCTTCCCAGGATGGCTCAAGTTTTCCTTCTTTCCACCCTTTGATGGGAACATGATCCTCAGGCTGGTTCTGGTTTACCGGAAATTCTACGGGTGGTACCTATGTTAAAAGACTTCCAGTTTTGAGGGAAAGGAAAGTGGAAGATAAACTAATTATATAATTTGTAAGAAATTGATCTTTTGTTTCAAAGGTGGGGACATCAGCAGTAGACTTTATAGTCCTTGGTGCCTTCTTACTAAGAAATTTCCTTTAGCATCTATTTTTATTAGTTTTTAGACCAAAGAAAGCCACCATGCCCGGCTAATTTTTTTTTGTATTTTTAGTAAAGGGCTTCACCGTGTTAGCCAGGATGGTCTCAATCTCCTGACCTCATGATCCGCCCGCCTCGGCCTCCCAAAGTGCTGGGATTACAGGCATGAGCCACCACACCTGGCACAGTTTTGTGCTTTTTCAAAAAGAATTCAGTTTTATATATGTTGGACTGTCTGCATATATTCCATCATAACTACTTTCCCTCTAATCCTTTCTACTTTCTGTAGCACATATTCATTTTCTTAATAACTTCCCAAGCTCTCTTCAATATGACTTCTTAGCTATTGATTCTAAAATGTTATCCAATGGGAACTTTGTAATTTAATCCTCATTTCTGAGATTGCTTTCTGTTTTTTAAACAAGATTTTTTGGTTTGAATCTGATCAACTCTCTTATTTCTTCTTACTTATTATTTATATCTCTTCTTAGTTTCTGAATTTTGGATTCTATTTTTAACATATAACTCTAAATTTAAGTTTGAGAATATTTTATAATGTTTGGTATGCTGTGTAACAGTTTTCTTCTGCTGCAATATTGTCTCTCAAATAGGGTTCAGCTTAATTATTTCAATTCTCATCTTCTATTTTTTTCCTCCATTAATGATTCATGAAGTTTGTCTCTTTTTTCCTAGTTTTAGGCATTTGTATAGGTAGTGTGCTTAGTTTGAGAATTTTTTTTTATTTCTGTAGTGGCTTACTTTATGGTGGCCCTGGTGGGAAGGGAGAGATTTGGGGCTGTATTATGTTTCCTCTTGTGTGCATGTGATCTGTAACTTTTTCATCTTATCTTATGTTTACTTATTTTTTATTGCACTGCCAAGCCTCAACAACAGCAACAACAACAACAAAAACCTCTTCCCTTCTTTATTTATTCCCTTATCTTCTCAAAATAATGTTTTCTTTAGGTTACCATTTTCAGTCTACTTGGTTTGAAGCTCTTCTCTATACTTAATTCTGTAAACTGGCAAATGTCACACTTGTCTTCTCTATTTTAACACTTAGCATTGACATTCTCTTTCTGTGAGTGGTGTTGTTTATGCTTCATCTGTGACTTCATCATTTTTCTTCTGTGGAATATCTTTGGACTTCTTCTTGCCACAAGGTTACAACAGAACTATAATTCTACTGGATATGTTGCTGTTGTAAGCCTGTTGTCTACTGATAGGTAATCTGAGGACTATGGTACTGTCTTCACCACATGGTGCTGAAGTTGTGATTTATATGCAGTTTTTATCCATCATATAAACTGTAGAGTTTTTTATTTTATTTTTTAATGTTTGCATAGAATCAGATACAGACAGCCACCATTATCTTAGTGTCAATTTAGTCCATTGTGCACTTTTAAATGATCAAGGTTCTAAATAACTTTTCTTTACAAATATATCTACATCTATATCAATATCTGGCCATTATGGTACTCCGAGGTGTTTTATAAGAACCATGATTTCTTAATAAAAATAGTTAATATATATGTGCTATGTGTGCCGTGTGTGTGTGTGTGTGTGTGTGTGTGTGTGTATGGTGCATACACATGTGTAAACATACTATAATATTTCTTTTTTTCAGAATGTAGATATGGGCAAAGGAGTGGTAGGCAATACTTTTAACAAATTATGTAACTACCTCTGAAAGTAATTTAGACAGGTAAACCACAGTATTTATAACCAACACTACACATTAATAATACAATAAGATTGAATAAAGCAAATGGTAAAAATCATCATGTATTTTATTGAATACATTTGATATTTTTGTTCTACTACATAAATACTGCATACAATGATTTATCCAGAGAAATTTAAGTTTGAAACACAAAGGTCCAAGGTATATTTCAGTCAGGCTTATACTGATAATGTATGACAG
This sequence comes from Homo sapiens, assembly GCF_000001405.40. NCBI lineage: Eukaryota > Metazoa > Chordata > Mammalia > Primates > Hominidae > Homo > Homo sapiens. Next base: position 98,399,411 of record NC_000011.10, read on the forward strand.
ATTTCTAAACTGGCTATCCTTTCACCTGACCTGGTTCCAAAGAACATTATAATATAGAATTGTTAAAAAATCTACTATGATGCAATGATTGTCATGACCACCTTTTTAGAAAAAATAAACTTTCCTCAGCATAAATCAGCTTTACTATGGGTAATATGCCCATCCTAGTAATTCTGCTCTTGCAGGAGACCATTATACATTTAGTGCATTTTATGGATAATTTCACAGTTATTTAAATATAGATTCTTAAGATTCTGTGACAAAATTTGACCTGCACCACAGAGGACTACAAAGCTGTAAGGATCTTAAAATAATATCTGGTTGAGAGGCCTGATCTGATTCCATTCTATATGCTATTGGAGAAAATATATGAATTATATAACAAATACCTGCACTTCAATTAAATTAATAGTAGTAATAAGATGATACTTATCATTTTTAATATGAATAAAATATAAGAAAGAAAACTATAATATGATTTTTCTCAAGTATGACACATTAATTTAGATTTTATGAGTTGTCTTCCTCCTTACTTAAATAGCTATGTATTAAACCTCATATTGTTGCCTTTAATTTGATACTTGACCCTTAAAACTGAAACTTTTTAAGGCTATCATTGCTAAGGAATCAACAAGATGTTTTTGAGTAATTGATGATGTGTAATTCCATGGATAATTATATCTTGCTTAACTTTACTTGATTGTTGAGAACTGTTAGTGTGAAGTACTCTAAGCTAGTTACATCACCAACCACAAGGCAATCAGACTGAAGATGAAGAGCAGGCAAAAGAAGCTTCAACTATTTTAAATTCTAATTAATTACTCTTTGGAGTAATTATCCATTCCATAGAAATTTTTAACAAAATATGTGTTTACTATGCTTTCTCATAGCCAACCAGCTTTGTTAATAAGAAACAACTGCCTTTTATTACATTTACTAATTTCCTCATCTCCTTATATGTATTCTGTTAAGAAAAAAAAAAAAGGTAGGCTGGCACCGTGGCTCACTCCTGTAATCCCAGCCCTTTGGGAGGCTGAGGCGGGTGGATCACTTGAGGTCAGGAGTGCAAGATCAGCCTGGCCAACATGGCAAAACCCCGTCTCTACTAAAAATACAAAAATTAGCCAGGCATGGGGGCGGGCACCTGTAATCCCAGCTACTCAGGAGGCTGAGACAGGAGAATCACTTGAACCCAGGAAGCAGAGGTTGCAGTGAGCGGAGATCACAACACTGCACTCCAGCCTGGATGACAGAGCGAGACTTTTGTCTCAAAAAAATAAAAGAAGAAAATTTTAAAAAGCTAAAAATTTAGTCAATCTTATTAGCATTATATCAAATGAAAATAACAGTGAACATTTGGCCTGGATTCATATGAAACATGACCAAGTGAATGAACAAATAAAGTATAACTTAATTAATACGTTTCTTGAGTCCTTGTCTAGTGTCAGTCAGGAGATATGGGATCCAGACTTAGCGTATACAACAAACCAGCTTTGTTTTGTTACCAAGTCACTAATTTCTCTGTGCTTCATTTCTCTTCATTATTATAAATAAATTGGCCAGCTGACTGGGTTTACATTGTTCACTTGTAAATACATGGATCAGACAAGTATTCATTTTTTAATCAGTGATTCAAAAACAATTCTATCTTAGTTTATCATGGTGTTTCCAAGGTAGAATGAAAACTAACAAAAATATTTTTAGAAGAATTCTATTGACATAGCTAAATTTTTTATGTTAAATTTTATTTAATATCTTGTTCATAAACATTAAGAGAACATAAAGCTCTGGTTTTATTATTTTATACACTATAATGAGATCCTTGTCTAATGGAGGATGTGAAAAAAATTAGGGATATGTCATTATTCAGTCTTATTGTAGAAAATGTATTCATTTAGAATATTGTTAGAGTAATAAACAATAATTAATCTAATATAATGTTCTTACATGAACAGAATATTTTACAGTTGTGTTCAAAATATAGTTTTTAAATGAACAAGAAACATTAAATGCAGTGAAGGTGATTTAAAACTAAAAGGCAATCAAATCTGGACTAAAATACATCAAATGAAAATGAGGAAACCCTAATATACAATACAGTTTTCTTCTTCCTCCTTAACTCCTCCTCTAAAAGTTCTATATACTCATCACATCATTTAACTAATTATTTAGTTGATATCATTTTCTCTAATACAACTTAATCCCTACATGGAATTGGGTCAAATCAAAAATATGTAAATGACAATCTAGTCAATTAAGATTGAGAATAGCTCAATAATTTTTCTTTCTTTTCTTTTTTTTTTTTTTTGAGACAGAGTCTTGCTCTGTCGCCCAGGCTGGAGTGCAATGGCTTGATCTTGGCTCACTGCAACCTCTGCCTCCCTGGTTCAAGTGATTCTTCTGCCTCAGCCTCCTGAGTAGCTGGGATTACAGGTGTGTGCCACCAAGCCCAGCTAATTTTTGTATTTTTAGTAGAGACAAGGTTTCACCATATTGGTCAGGGTGATCTCAAACTCCTGACCTCATGATCCGCCTGCTTCGGCCTCCCAAAGTGCTGGGATTACAGGTATGAGCCACTGCACCCAGCCAATAATTTTTCATTCCAATTGCAAGTCAAAATCTTTACCAAATATTTGTTTACATGCTTATTGTTTATCATTACATCTAGATTCTAAACTCCCTGAAAACTCCAAGTTTTGCCAATTATATTGCTAAGACCAGAAAAAAAAATACATTTTCCTCAATCTTAGCAATCAAATCCCATAATAAAAAGTTATAACTTTCAGAGTAACTCAGCAACCTCTCTCAAACATCTTATATTCCATTTTACATAAAAGGAAATAATATCAAATATATGAAGAAATTCAGTGTCCAACACTGTATAGCTACCTGATACACCCACAATTTGAAATATATTACAAGACACATTTTCCCCAAGAGATGCATTGCTTCTCTTTTTCTGATTCAAAGTAGTGAATAAGGTAAGTACATGATTACAAAATTAGTTGGGAGGCCAGTAAACTGAGTTTGCTCTAGCATTATGGTTTCCTATGTAAGCAAACTAAAACCCAACTCAGCATAAATGGTCATATTTTAGGAAAGCAAAACTTAAGCTTAACTAATCAGAAACTTCCAACTAACCTCTAAACAAGGATTTCCTACCGGAATTATCCAAATAAGGCTACTGTTCCACTTTAACCAATCCAGTGATTCCTATGCTTTGCTTCTTTTTCACCTTCTGAAAGCCTTCCCCTCACACTCCCTCAGGGTAGCCCCTAGCTGCTAGGTGTCTGGCACTGCTTGGTTTATAAGTCACTGTGGGACCAAATAAGCTCTTTGATATTTTAATGTGCCTCAGCTTATCTTTTAGCACCATATACACAATGGTACACAGTGGTCTCAATACTATTAGGCAACCAGTGCAAAAGTAATTGCGGTTTTCCCATTAAAAGTAATAGCAAAAGCTGCAATTACTTTTGCACCGACCTAATAGTTTTATGATAGGTACAGAACAGATTTGTAAAATATTTTATTCCTGAATTCATAAAAAAAAACTGATACAAGAATAACAATGAAATGTAACTCAAATAATTGATTCTATAAAGATATATGCTACTGATGTACAAGTCAGTGGCTTTCAGGTCCTCTAAACTGATGTATAGCAGCAGTCCCCAACATTTTTGGCACCAGGGACCAGTTTCGTGGAAGACAATTTTTCCACGGACCATGGGGAATGGTTTTGAAAAGATAATCAGATTCTAATAAGGAGCCCACAATTTAGATCCCTTGCATGTGCAATTCGTAGTAGGGTTAGGGCTCCTATGAGAATCTAATGCTGCTGCTATCTGACAGGAGGCAGAACTCAGATGGTAATACTTGCTTGCCCTCCTGCTTTGCCACCCAGTTAATAACAAGCCACAGACGGGTACTGGTCCACAGCCTGGGGCTTGGGGACCCCTGAATAGGGGACGACTTACATCTGTTAACCAAAAAGTGACTGAGGCAGGCCTCAATTAATAGGGGTTTATTTAGCCAAGGATGAGGATACACCTGGGAAAAAACACAAATCACAGGAGCTTCTGTGACCTGTGTTTTTTCCAAAAGGGGTTTTGGGAACTTCAGTATTTAAAGGGGAAAGAGCAAGCAGGAGGTAAAAGAGGAAGGAAAGGTAGGTAATGAAGCAAATGGTTACATTCTTATGAGGGTCTGATTAGACTCAGTAAATCTACATTTTACATATGATAAAGTAAACATGTGAAGGAGTAGAGGAAAAAGTCAATTATGCATTTGTCTCAGGGTAGGTGAAGGGATGATTTCTGGTCTTGTCCTATAACCTGTGAAGATAAACTGGTTATTGATATTGTCAGAGTAAGATTCAACAGAACTCAGTTTTAGGGATAGTTTACAGAGGGGGGATATGTATCTTAAAAGATATGGGAGCTTACAAGGGACTTCCTTGTGAGCAATTTGTGAGGGAGGCCATCTGGGGAGATATGTGATCCTCTATCATTGTGGGAACCTGGCTTACGGATGAGGCTGTGACACAGAGTTGTGAAATTACAACTATCTGTTTGGGAACAAAAGGATGGCAGTATTTTGTGACTCAGTTCCCATGGTTAATTTTTCTTTTGTCCTGATAAGTTTGAGGTCCCAAGATTCTATTTTCTTTCACACATCTTAGAGGAATGTCTAAGGCATGGCCATTAGCTCAGGTGTCTGATTTATAAATTCTTTTAGTCAGGCTTTTGACGTAAAAGAAATTGACATCCTGTTTCTGTTTAAATCTCTAGTGAGAATCTAAAATACAGACAGGTGTCTAACGACTGGAGAAGTTTCATATTTTTTCTGATTAAGAAATAGTAGTGGGGCTTCCAGAATGTCAGAAGTGGTCCAAAATACCACTCCTCTCATGAAAACACCAGAAAACTAGAACAAATTCAAAACCAACTGTTATAAAACTTTTCAAAGTATCTGGTCTGGGGTTGTGAAGCTCTGGCGCTATCCCGGACCATCTGGTTTCTTGAAGCAGCTGCGCCTATAAACAAGAAACTAATGGAAAATCAGTAAGAAAAAGAACATTCCGGCCAGGCGCGGTGGCTCATGCCTGTAATCCCAGCACTTTGAGAGTCTGAGGTGGGCAGATCATGAGGTCAGGAGTTCAAGACCAGCCTGGCCAACATGGTGAAACCCCATCTCTACTAAAAATACAAAAATTAGCCGAGCATGGTGGCAAGCGCCTGTAATCCCAGCTACTCGGGAGGCTGAGGCAGGAGAATTGCTTCAACCCAGGAGGTGGAGGTTGCAGTGAGCTGAGATCATGCCACTGCACTCCAGCCTGGGCGACAGAGCAAGACTGTATCTCGAGGAAAAAAAAAAAAAGAACTTTCCAGGCTATTTCATCAGGGCTGCCCTGGGGAATGCTTTCAAAAGAAAGAAATAATAATTGAGAATATTCAAAAGCAGAAGTCAAATAAAAATTCATTCAAAGTAGAAATTTGTCTATTTTTAATAATGGCGTTAGTAGACCATACAAACTGTCATGGTGACTACCATGAAGAATTATACTTACTTAAATTTGCAAAATATTATTGTCTAAGATGTTACTATATTTATATATTATCTTATTTGTGGTTTTATGTACTCTTTAGTAATTACATGAGCCTTCAAATTTCCAGAGATTCTTTCTTGGTTTTAAGGAATAACAATAATTTTCACCAAAAAAGGATTTAAGTTCATTACTTCTGGCTCACATGGAAACATCCTGGATGAGGACAGCCCTCCCCCCACCCCCCCACACATAGACACTTTCTCTCTCTCTCTCGAGATGTAGATTTACAGATATAGATATATAGATAGATGTAGATATAATGTACGTATTTCTGTCTCTATCTATAGATATCTATATCTATATCTATATATAGAGTCTATTATACATGTGTCTATGTGTGTGCTTGTTTCTATATGTATAAATACACATATATATTCTCTATTACTTCAGAAATTTGTTCTCTTTATTCTCTTTTGATATTCTTAAAGAAAAACAAAACCAAACTTTGGTTTCCCAATTAATATAAGGTCAGAATTCATTGTCTCAAAATAGAATCTGTTACAATTTGAAGAAATAATGTAGTAGAAGTTGGTCTTCTGGGTATAAGCTTTGTGTGGGTCCTTAACATTTCAATTTAAATTTAGATTGACCTCTTAACCCAACACTTTGCTTTAAATTAATTTTTCTCAGATGACACAAATTACAGAAACATTTTGCTAATACTTCACTGATACAACATCACAGATAAACCCTTGAAATATATTCAAGTGCTTACAATTAAAACCAAAGTTGTCCATTGTAATGCTAATCCATTATGTTTTATTTATGAAGCATACCAAAATTAATTTCCTAATTTAAAATGTTATTAGACACATTTTTATGTCAATCATTTCATTGTTGATGTTTTTATTTTTATTTTTATTTTATTTTTTTTTTGCTTTTCGTTTTTATGAGACAGAGTCTCGCTCTGTCACTGAGGCTGGAGTGCAATAGTGCAATCTCAGCTTACTGCAACTTCCACCTTCTGGGTTCATGCAATTCTCCTGCGTCAACCTCCCAAGTAGCTGGGATCACAGACGCCCACCACCACCCCCAGCTAATTTTTTTGTATTTTTAGTAGAGACAGGGTTTCACCATGTTGGCCAGGCTGGTCTTGAACTCCTGATCTCAAATGATCCACCTGCCTCAGCCTCCCAAAGTGCCGGGATTACAGGCGTGAGGCACTGTGTGTTTTTATTGTTTTAACTGATAAGGTCTTTAATAATCAGATTGAAGGAATTTTTTAGTGTGTTGAGAACCTCGAGATAAATCTGTTTCAGTAGATTAACCCCTGATATTTGGCAACAGTTATAAGAATATCATCAATATTGCTTTTGGCAGAAAATCCATCTCCTAAAGATTTCTAAAATTATAACTGTTCCATGGCCAGGTAACAATGATTTTGGCACTCAGCATTTTTCAACCTCTTTTAAAAATAATAGTATCTGGAATTTTGAAATGATTGTTATTAACTAGCCTAATCTCTAGGGAATGTGGTTAAGTTGGTATTTATGCCAATTCCTCTCCTCTTCATAAGTGGACACTAAAGACTTAATTCAATAAGCTTATTTGATAACCCTAATCAAAATAGTTTTTTGTTTTTCAAAAATAGAGACAGAAACTAGTGCTGGCCCATGAAAAAATATGTTTGCTATGGATTCCGGCAAAGCAAAGTTCTTTATAAGTTAAACTAATCATGACCTATGGTGCATCCTTATTTCCAACTACAAAGGAAAGCTGGTGAATGGATGTGAAGAAAACCTTTTTTTTTTTTTTTTTTTTTTTTGCTGACAGAGAAGGCAGTGCAAAACAGACCAAGCTTATCATCATCCTTGTTGAAAATATTTGAGATGATGGACCAAACCTTGCTTGATCTAGCTTTACTTCTGGAATTTTCAGTTGTGACACACAAAACTTCCTCTTACTATCTAACAGGTGATGAGGTGGATTTTATGTCACTTAAAATAATAAGCTTCCCAAAAGATACTTTGATGCTCAGAGGTGTTTGCTTTTAAGGATGACTTATTATAATAATAGTATTGTTTATGTGAGCCAGTGAGGCAGCAAATGGAATCATACATAGCAATCATTTTCAACTTTTTAAAATATGAAACTAGAGTTGTCTCCATTTGAAAGATTTGCAACGCTATATTTATAGACTAAGAGGTACATCATATCTAGACGTAAATTTTCAGAAGACTACTCAAGTGGTCACTAATATTGATATTTATCTTCAGAAATATCTTTCAAATCCATAATCATCTCTTTTTAATCAATATCACTGCTCAGATTTTTTTTATTTTATTTATTTATTATTATTATTTTTTTTTAGATAGGGTCTTTCTCTGTCGCCCAGGCTGGAGTACAGTGGCATGATCTCTGCTCACTGCAACCTCCACCTCCTGGGTTCAAGAGATTCTTCTGCCTCAGCCTCCCAAGTAGCTGGGATTACAGGTGCACTCCACCACGCCGGGCTAATTTTTGCACTTTTTAGTCGAGACGGGGTTTCGCCATGTTGGCCAGGCTGATCTCGAAGTCCTGACCTCAAGTGATCCACCCACCTCAGCCTCCCGAGTTGCTGGGATTACAGGCGTGAGCCTCTGCACCCGGCCTCACTGCTCAGACTTTATGCACTCAGTTTCTCCTGCTTTGAAAACTCAAATAGTTTTCTAACTATATTACTTGACTCTATCCTTATCCTTGTCCAATAAGTATGTTGCCAAAATAACCTAACAAAACATATCTGTGCATGTCACTACCTGCTGATCAAAGATGTAATAGCTTTCATCTTTTTCAGAATATAAGTTAAACTAATCATGACCTATGGTGCATTTTATGATCTAAAGGAGTGCTATAAAATAAGAAAATAACACTCTAAACATAAAATTATCACAAACTAGAAATGCTATGTTACTAAAAAACCTATTGATTATAAACAAAGTATTATAAAGATTACTAACTTACTAAATAAGTAATTACTAAATTACTAAATAAAATAAAAGTGAATATATCAATTGTGAAATGGTGAGATATCGCTAATGCAGTATTAAAAAAATATTTAGGTATGGCCGGGCGTGGTGGCTCCCTTCTGTAATCCCAGCACTTTCGGATGCCGAGATGGTTGGATCACAAGGTCAGGAGACCCAGACTATCCTTGCTAACACGGTGAAACCCTGTCTCTACTAAAAATACAAAAAATTAGCCTGGCATGGTGGGCGCCTGTAGTCCCAGCACCTTGGGAGGCTGAGGCAGGAGAATGGCGTGAACCTGGGAGGCGGAGTTTGCAGTGAGCAGAGATCTGGGCACTGCGCTCCAGCCTGGGTGACAGTGCAAGACTCCATCTTAAAAAAACAAACAAAAAAAACCAACAAAACAAATTAGGTACTTCGAAATATTCTATCCTCTCAGTTTCTTAGTGTAGTTAGCCACTAGCCACGTGACTATTGACATTTACATTTAAATTTAAACTTATAAATTAAAGAAATAAATGCATTTAAAATTAAATAAAATCTGAAAATCAGCTTTTCAACTGTGTTAGTAACTTTTCAAGTGCTTGGTAGTTGCATGTAGCTAGCAGTTACTGTACTGGACACTGAAAATACAGAGTATGTTTAGCATATCAAACATAATACTGTAATATTATCTAGTCCTTTTAGAAAAAACAATCTTTTTTACATACCATCAGTTAATCTGGCGCTTTATCCAATCTGAATATATATTTATACCACAGACAAAACTGAAAATGAGTATCTTTCTGGGTTAAACTATTAAACATACAGGCTCTATCTTCTGCTATGTCTTAACTTTAATTTTAAATTCAGAGAGGTTTTGAGTTTGCAATACCAAGGTTCATATTCTAATATAGGTTTAAACTCATCCTTGCATTTGTGGAGATGGAAGTTTCTACTCAGTTACAGGTTCACAGCCAGATCACTAACACTCACTTCACTGCCCCTTTGGAACCCTGGTCACACAACGGCTAAGACCCAGATATATGATTATCTATTTACCTATCTATCCATCTATCTATTATCTGTCTATAATGCATTATATTTGAAGCTTAGGAGTCTCTGCAAATTCTTCCCCTGAAGCCCTGGTATATGCCAAGTTGTTGCAGCAATGTAGACCTGTTTATTCCTGCAGGCTATTGTATAAGTACCTTATACACATCTCTCAGAGAAGATAGGAGCCCTGTCAGGTTGGAACCAATACATCTTCCTCTGACAAGTGCTTTCCAAGTCACAAGCATGGAGTGTATTGGCTTATGTGCCTGCATTCACCACTCAGCAATATATCAGTACCTGTGTTGGCTTTTCTCCACCATAACCAATAACATCAGCACCTTTGCAAATGGCATTTAGTACAAAGGCATTATTCACTCTAAAGGCAAGCTCATTATAAACCACCTAGTTACAGCTGAGTGTTTGAACAAGTTTATATCATGGTCAGTGAAGGCAAAAGGCAGTATTCCTCCACAATGATCCTGCATCCCTCTAGACTTTATTTACTCTGACAAAGGAGATTTATCCTCTGTTATTTGCTATAGATACCTTTCACTATCAATCAGAGGTAGGTTTAATCTCTCACTGTGGCATTGATTTCTCTTTAGCATCTCTTTGCTTGTGCTTTTTACTGCATATTCTTGAGTTATAGGTTATAAAGAGCATCCCATGTTGGACACTACAGTGTACAAAATTTGAAGTATTAGCATTAATGAGACATTCAAGAGACCCTCAGGAAGTCATAGCAGGCCCCAAGAATCAAGGCAGAAAACTGCATGCCAGTAAGATTTCATCAGGTGCATCTCTAAGGTGGGAGTTCCCATTTCAGTCAAGGGGTGAATTTCTTGCCCTTATCCACACACTTATACCTCAGGAAACTCAGTAACATACTCACTAATATAGCAACTATATTACAAGGTGGCTATGAAAGCCACCCTGCTTAAAAGTCATACATTTAAAAAATGGAGCCAATATTTATTATAACAGCCCATGAGCACAAATTTTAGCATCCTGGCATGGGACATGTCCAATTGCAAGAACCAGCACATTCAGGGAAGCCCAACATTTTGACTTGATAGTGGATGGTATAATCAAGAACATAGGGAAGAAAATGTTCACAAGAGTTTTAGGAATTGGTGAGGAGAGAATAATAGTGTCATTATTTATAGAAGTTATCACTTTGAAAAATCAACATAAAATTATGTAGTTCTCTTCAGTGAAGGACTTCATAGATAACACTAACAGAAAATGAGAAACTAAAAACTATCTTTGTGATATCTAAAATTCACAAGGCATTAATGCCTAAAATATGACAGGAAGTCCTACAAATAGGAAAGTGGGTCATTAATAGTGCATTAGGCAGAGTCCCTGTCAGAAACAGATAAAACACTCAAACTGAGTAATTAAAGGGTCGATTTACAAAGTTGTGGACAGGGTTTAGGAAAAGCACCAACGTTTATTGCAGTATCTTGAGACTAGAAATAGCAGAGACACTGTTTGGTTTTCTAGGACTGAAAGGGAATGAGCAGAAAGTTATTATGGACAGGGGAAAAATATATATGTGTATATATATATATTTGGCAATACTTGGCTATGCCTCCTATTTCCTGGCTATGCCTCCTACTGTTGAATGCGAACCACAAATCTGAAGGCAAGGAAACATTCTGATGGAGCTCATACTGGTCACCCTTCCAGGGAAAAGAGTAGAGTGGAGAAGGGTGGTAGAGAAGGGTGAGAAATGGACCTTAAAAGGCAAAAGAGATGATGTCTAGCAGAGATGTGGACAGGCACTGTAGAAGATAAGCCATAAACTTCCGACCTAAATGTCAAGTGAGCTCTTCATATTGCCTCAGTTTGGCTCTCAAGTCTACTTAGTAATTACAGTATATTTCTCTAATCCACTCACTTTCCTATGTTCCTTGACGACCACTCATTTTTTCTCCTTAATCCTAAAACTTGCAAGAACCCCTCTTCCATCTTCACTCTTAGTTAAGGACTTTTCTTCCTTTCTTATGAAAAACTTAGAACAATGAGTAGAGAATCTGCACATACCCCATTCACCATGCTCCCACCTGCTGGCATATGTAGTTGTATATTTTGCCGTTTTGCTAAACTCTATTTCCCTTTCAGTGGTGCCTAGATTTCAAATATTTAGCTTAATAGAGATCATTGCTCTTATAGGTTTCTCTCTCTCTTTTTGATTAAATTTTCTCTAATAGATCTTCCCGTCAGCATTCAGATATTTCTCATATCTTAAAAATATATATATATTTTCACCTTGCTACCTCAAAAAATCTTTATCTTTTTGAAGATGGCATGTATTCAGAAGGGTATGTATCACTCCCACTTTGGTTCATATATTTTGCTGGCGATAGGAAGTAACAGGCTCATGCCTGAGTTTTATTTACAGAGAAATGAAGCCTACAATTTGTACAGAGCGAGAATGCCAATAGTTTTAAACATCTTTACTGAAAATCAAAATCATTTCCTCTTTAATTCCATCAAATATCTAATAATTTTCATTTTATTTTTCTCAGTACCAAGTCCTCCATGGGCCTTTACTATGTATTTATCAGTACCTAGCGCTTCTGTCTTGTTTTCAATTTAGTTTTCATTTCTATAAAAATTTTTCTCTCAAATTTTTTGAGGTCTACCACGTTAATCTTTATCTCCCTGTATCTTTTCTGGGCTTTTATGTCGTGTTTTGAGTTTAGATTTAAAATAGGTAATGTGCTGGTTTTGTAAATACAGTCACACATTTTTGATACTTCTTTCTTTAAGAGGTGGACCTAACCCCCTCTTTTTGGCTGTTTGCTAAACTTAGTGACTTGTTTTTAACAAATACAATAAAGTGGAAGTGACAGCACGCAACTCTAAACACTCGATCACAACAGGCACTATTATTAGCATTTCTCTCTCTTTCTCTCTTGAACTCTCTAACTCTCCCTCTCACATCACTCACTCTGGGGCATGTAAGCTGCCTTGTGAGTAGCCCTGTGAAGCAGCCCACATGGTGAGGAACTGAGACAATCTGACATCTGTCACATGAATGCACAGGGAAGTGGATCCTCAACTCCTATCAAGCCTTTGGAAGACTGTGCTACAGGCAGACATAATGATAACAATCCTATGCGAAACCCTGAACCAGACCACCCAGCTATGCTTCTGAATACCTGACCCACAGAAACTATCAGATAATGCATGTTTTTTTGTTAAATTATTGTGAAAATTTTGTTAACAATTTTCTCCAGATTTATGAAAACATTTGGATAATTGACTTGTTGGTTTATCTTTTTTTTCCTCCATCCACTGGCTTCTTTTATAAATTTTGATTATTTTTAAATTAATAACTGACTTTTAATGAGGCTGATACTTCTTTTACCACCTGTTGTTTGTGTTAGAAATGATCATCTCTGACTCACAATGAATTTTATGAGCATCTAAGTTATTTTGCATCTTCCTACTCTATAGAGATTAGAAACTTCAGGTCTTTTCAAAATACAGAGTCTTTTCTTTCTCTCCAACGTGCTTTGCTGAAAGACTTTCTGTGTGTGTGTGTGTGTGTGTTTCTGTCTTTTGTATTTCCCTATGATGTCCATTGTGTCTACTAAAATTCCTGCTTTGTAAGTAAACTTTGTTGGTTGCTCCTATTTTTACAAAAAAGAGTTTATTTGCCCCTACTTTAAATGCATATGCTGTGCTATTTGTCTGAGACCCCCAATCAATTATGCTGTCTTTCTGCCCTGGCTTAATATCTCCCTGCACTCCTTCTTGACCTTCACTCAATTTGAAAGCCCTTCCTCAGTGTTATGCTGTAAGCCTAGGTATGACTCCCAGGTTTAATGTTCATCATAATTTTTGTCATTATCAGTAATTTTTTTTTTCTAAGGTGGCATCTCGCTCTGTCACCCAGGCTGGAGTGCAGTGGCACTATCTCAGCTCACTGAAACCTCCACCTCCCGGGTTCAAGCAATTCTCCTGTCTCAGTCTCCTGAGTAGCTGGGGTTAGAGACACCTGCCACCATGCCCAGCTAATTTTTCTACTTTTAGTAGAGATGGGGTTTTGCCATGTTGGCCAGGGTAGTCTCGAACTCCTGACCTCAGTTGATCCGCCTGCCTCGGCCTCCCAAAGTGCTGGATTACAGGCGTGAGCCACCACGCCCACCTCATTATCAGTAATTTTCAAAAGGATAACTGGGCAATGCTATATCAATTAACACTATATTTAAGGCATTATTTAATATCATTATTTGTAAAGCTTCTCTTTGTTCATTAAGAGCTGAATAGAATTCTCCTCCAATGATGTATGAAATTCATTTATCAAATGCCCTTTTGAAGAATGTTTTTGTGATTCTATATTTTCTTCTATTATAAACACTGCTTCAATAATGATATCTTTAAATATCTGTTTTATAGAGAGTGTATTGCTTCATAGCCCCTTTTTGCACTAGCAACTTACCTGCTCTTTATTAGCTTCCAAGATTATATGTCTTAATGGTTTTTTGTTCAACCTTGCTTTCAAAACAAACTCAAGAGGAGGATACATTGCCAGCCTGTGAATCCCATTCTTTTTATTATAAATAAACAAAGGACCAGCATCTTTTCTGAAGAACTGACTTGGTCTGAGGTCTGCACTACAATCATCTTTTCTGAATATCTTTTCTCCCCTGTGTTTGAGTTTCACTGCATTTAGAAATTTTTTTTTCTATCCCTTTTTGTGTTACAGAAGCTGCTTACTTTTGTGGACAATGACAATTGCTTTTCTGGTTCTTTTTCTCTTTGTTGTTCTGAGGTGGGTGCTAACAGAAAAAAAAATTCTATTTTATATTTGACAAATTAAACTAGAAGTTGTACAGCTTCAAGACACTTCCTATGAATTTAGTAACATATGAAGCTCCAATAACCACATATACTTAGGTAATTAGCTACTCTAATCAGAACTCTTTTATCCTTATTTACTCCCACCTAACAAAAAAATTGAATAAAGATGTATTTAAAGTGGGAGACGGTTAGTTCTTATTTATTTTATTTATTTTTATTTTTTTTGAGACGGAGTCTCCCTCTGTCGCCCAGGCTAGAGTGCGGTGGCGCGATCCCAGCTAACTGCAAGCTCTGCCCCCCACCCCCCACCCTCCACCCCCTCACGTCATTCTCCTGCCTCAGCCTCCCAAGTAGCTGGAACTACAGGCACCCGACTCCACGCCTGGCTATTTTTTCTCTTTGTATTTTTAGTAGAGACAGGGTTTAACCATGTTAGCCAGGATGGTCTCGATCTCCTGATTTCGTGATCCGCCCGCCTCGGCCTCCCAAAGTGCTGGGATTACAGGCGTGAGCCACTGCTCCCGACCAGTTAGTTCTTAATTTAACAATGAATAAAAGTTTGAGAAAAATTGTACAAACAACTTTTGTCTCTTCACTTTTCCAACTCAACACTAATCAAATTGGTTTGATTAGAATTTTGTTCTGGGAGAACTCTTGGATAATTCTCTCTCTCTCTCTATGTCTCTCTCTCTCTCGGGCCTCTTTAGATAATCTTTGTGTTAACAATTAGTGCACTCCCATATTTCCTAAATACGAAATGAAACAGTTTAATATTTTAAAGAAAAAGATACACGAAATTATTTAGTTACTATCACTATATTATTGATCCCCATTAGTATCTATAGATATTGTCAAAGGTGATATTCACTTGTTAACATATGTCAGAATATAGCCACTATTCGTAAAAAAAGCACACACATTTCTTGTGCGCTAACCCCGATTTTAAATGCTTTACATACATTGACATTCATTCTTTGCAATTACTTTATGTGATATGTACAGGTATTATCACCATTATATAGATTAGGAAACTGAGGCACGTTAAGTAACTTGCCCTAAGTTACTTAGTCAGTAACTGGTAGAGCTGGAGTCAAACAAGGTAATCAGCCTTCAAAGTTCATGCTTTCAAATACTGCTTTCTTTTCTCTCTAAGCCCCATTCTAAATGCTTTGAAGAAAACATGAACTCTCATCAGTCACACTGGAACTACATTTTACAGATAAGACAACTAAGCTTCAGAAAAGTGAGGTAACTTATTTGTAGTTACACAAGTTGAAAGTAAAACATTTCCTATTCTAACGAAATTCTATGTTCTATTATTTTCACTGGCTATGGACAGACTGATGTCCATTCCTACTTTGTAAACAGATTATTTGAATATTTGGATGCAGGTTGCTCAAATCTAGGGCATAATTTATATTTTTGATTAGTTGATTCTTAATTTGATAGGAAACAGAAAAAGGAATATATTGTTCTGTTTAAATAAGTAGTATATACTAACCTTGCAACAAATATCTGCTTGAGATTTCAACATCTGTATATGCTGCATTAGCACATATATATTTTTAACATTCAAATATAACTGCCTTGTGAATCTTAACAGAACAAGACATATTTTTGAAATTATTTGTTATATTATTTTATTAGATTCTAAAAATAGTTTCATAAAATTCATCTTTAGTAAATATTGAGCACAGACTTCTTTAAAACAGCATCCTGGCTAGGCGCGGTGGCTCACGCCTGTAATCCCAGCACTTTGGGAGGCCAAGGCAGGCGGATCATGAGGTCAGGAGATCAAGACCATCCTTGCTAACAGGGTGAAACCCCGTCTCTACTAAAAATACAAAAAAATTAGCTGGGCTTGGTGGCGGGCGGCTGTAGTCCCAGCTACTTGGGAGGCTGAGGCAGGAGAATGGCTTGAACCCAGGAGGCAGAGCTTACAGTGAGCCGAGATCGTACCACTGCACTCCAGCCTGGGCAACAGGGCAAGATTCCATTTCAAAAAAAAAAAAAAAAAAAGCAGTGTCCTATTTTTATGTATCCCCCTAAGCCTTCTTTTCAGTCTTAAATGAGAGGGACCAAATGATGTTTTTACAAAAGAAAGCAAGAAGGTGCAAAGTCACCATTTTTACTTTCCATGAGAAAGTTTGTGGGAATGATCATTTTCTGACAATATGTACAGCGGCAAGCCTTGAAACATTTTTAGGAAGCCACTAAGTACTGCGCAGCTGTATGAAAACTGCTTGGTATACCACGGATATCTATACTAAAAGTTTTCACAACGGAGTTATAACATAGTCTCCCATTTTCCATTCTAGAGAGCCACATGGATTTAGTAGATATAAAAAAGTTGAAATAATGTTTAGTATTTCTGTTAAAAGAAAGGACAGTTGGACAGTCAGTAGGGATTTTTCCTTATTAATTTTGGGAGGCCAAGGCGGGCAGATCATGAGGTTAGGAGGTCGAGACCATCCTGGTTAACACGGTGAAACCCCGTCTCTACTAAAAACACACACACACAAAAATTAGCCGGGCGTGGTGGCGGGCGCCTGTAGTCCCAGCTACTCGTGAGAGCTGAGGCAGGAGAATGGCATGAGCCTGGGAGGCGGAGCTTGCAGTGAGCCGAGATTGCGCCACGCCTGGGCCAACAAAGCGAGACTCCGTCTCAAAAACAAAAACAAAAAAAGACAGCACAATATTATCTTTTCTAAGGTTTTGAAATAAAGATATATTAAGCAAAATAATTTATCAATTATGTAATTCATAATTTAATATGGTAATACGATTTAAATGTGAACAATCATTGCAATTAAAAAAAAATTTTTTTTTTGAGACTGAGTCTTGCTCTGTAGCCCAGGTTGGAGTACAATGGCACGATCTTGAATCACTGGAACCTCTGCCTCCTGGGTTCAAGCAATTCTCGTGCCTCAGCCTCCTGAGTAGCTGGGATTACAGGGGTGCACCACCACACCCAGCTAATTTTTTTACTTTTAGTAGAGACAGGGTTTCCTCATGTTGGCCAGGCTAGTCTCGAACTCCTGACCTCAGATGATCAGCTCACCTTGGCCTCCCAAAGTGCTGGGATTACAGGCAAAATCATATTTTTTAAGAAGAACTATGGTGATCATGCTTAATGAATAAATTTTTACTGACACTTGCAGTTTTACTACTATTATCACTTTCATCTGTTTAAAAGATAATTAGGTGTCAGTACACAGCATTTCATTATGGAAATCAAAATTATGGGTTTTATGAGGTTTTTTCTTATGAAAGGAGTTTTTGTACCTGCATGCGATATTTAATTATTATTTTTCGTATTTAACATTATTAGTTTTTTTTTAAATTCAGGTTTTATATTCATGGCTACACTGTATTTTATCATTTATTTTCAAATGAAATTGTATCTTAGATTAAGGTTTCATCCTCTACTATGACGTTATCTTATACTTATTTTAATTTTATGGATAGATGTCAGGAACTAGGGAATAAAGTACTTTCCATCTGTGCAGAACAGTTTGATCTGTAATGAACACAACAAGCAAAGGGGAGTTCTTGGTATTGATGAGCCTGCATTATTTTTCTGTGGATGCAAGGATATACTTTTTTGCCAGATGAACTGACAGATGACTGTTATATCTGGTGGTACTTTGAAATTCAGCCTCTTAATGAGATGCCCCTTTCCAACTAATCACTGTCACAGAGGATGGCGCATTACCAAAAGTACGATTCTAGTCATAGCTGGGGAAGATTAATATGTAGTGACAACTGGGAACTCTAGGGGACTTTGGGGATAGAGAAGGTTAATTGGAAATGCTGAAATTAATGTTCATTAATTTAATAAACCGAAGAGCCATAGCTTGTTAAAACTAGATTGGATTTCTTTCATCTAATAATGCCTGTTATTTACTTGAGAAGATTCATTATAGAAATGAAAATGAATGATTTTACAGAACTTAAAAGAGAGAGAAATGGTATCGAAATAAGTAAACTTTGTAATCCTTTCTAATTCTAGAATAAATAATTCATATCTACTTAATAACTAATTCCTGGGGCCCCTGATTGTTTTTACAAATTGTGTTTTGAGTGTCTAATTATTTTACACTATTAAACACATAACAGTGTTTAGCAATAAATTGCATATTCTCAAAATATGCTCCATAAAATACATTTTATAAAACAAGTTTCTATGGTAAGTAAGTTTGGGAAACGCTAAAAAAAAATTAAAAAGATTTACAACGCTCATTAATATTGATGTAAACTACATTTAACCCCAAGGTTCTCAGCCTTTTACCATTGAGTATGTTTTCCAAATTATACCTATTGAGAGATGATGTAAATGTGGTTTGGCAAAAGCTGCCCTGAGCTTATAAAACTATCTCAAATATTCCTCTTTATCTTGTTTTTTTTAAGATAATTATCTTAGCAGAAAAAGTAGCAGAAACAAATAAAAACTCTCAACAACAAAAAAGCTATAACATGATAATACTTTTACTCATTCCTAAGAGAACATACAAGAGAAGGTAAAAGTTGTCAGAATTAACTATGTAAAAGACCCTGACAAATAAAGCCAGGGAAGAACATGAGGGCAGGGTTCTCATGCACAAATGCCTGATAACAACTATCACTAAAAACTCTGCAAAAATCACAACTTTGCACGAAGGCCACCACAGCATTATGTAAAAATTATATTCTACGGGAACATCTGCCCAGCAACTACCTGTTCAACCCTGGACTCATACCAGCCTTGCTATTGACTACTGTGTCCAAGGAAAATAACTGCAATAATTTTGAAATCCTGCTCATTTTTCTTTTAAACATCTTAGTTTTCCTTTACCTCTTTGAAATGCACATAGTTTATTATGGTACATATATTTCCATTGCAATGACCATTCACAGGTAAATGTCGTTTTCTTTTAGAGAGTCTGTCTGTGTTATTTAGATCGACAAAGCTTAGATTTGCCACATGACAAATTTCTATGGGTTATGCATGTCTTGTTTTTATTTTGATCAAATTAAAGAAAAGAAAAAGAAAACAGTCTTAACAACTCATGTAAAATATTTAATTCATATTTGGTATCAAGACCAGCTAATTAAATTCTTACTTTGTTTTTCTTTTTTTAATTTGTCATTTTATGTTTTTAAAGATCAAATGTTATTTTTATTTCCCAATGCCTTTAAAGTTACTCCGTGTTTCTGGAAACTCTGTTGATACAAGGTCAGCACATGACAAAAGATTCATATCAAGGTCAACTGGGTATGTTCTATCAATTGCAGTGTTATAAACACATTTTTGTGTCTTATAATACACTTGAAGTTTAGATGTTGTATAAATAATAAGAAATTGAAGTAATTTAGTTTTTCTCAAAATATCACAAATGTTATTAAAGAATTCATCTTTGTGCTATCTATGCAAATTTTTACAATACACTCATATCAATATGTTTATGTGTGTCTGGAATTTATTCCTTCCGATGGGTTCTTGGTCTTGCTGACTTCAAGAATGAAGCTGCGGACCTTCGCAGTGAGTGTTACAGCTCTTAAAGATGCTGAGCCCGGAATTTGTTCCTTCAGATGTTCAGATGTGTCTGGAGTTTCTTCCTTCCAGTGGGTTTGTGGTCTCGCTCACTTCAAGAATAAAGCCGCAGACCTTCACAGTGAGTGTTACAGCTCTTAAAGGTGGTGCAGACCCAAAGAGTGAGCAGCAGGAAGATTTATTGTGAAGAGTGAAAGAACAAAGCTTCCACAGCATGGAAGAGGACCCGAACAGGTTGCCGCTGCTGGCTGGGGTGGCCAGCTTTTATCCCCTTATTTGTCCCTGCCCACGTCCTGCTGATTGGTCCATTTTACAGAGCACTGGTTGGTCCATTTTACAGAGTGCTGATTGGTGCATTTTACAATGCTTTAGCTAGACACAGAGCACTGATTGGTGCATTTTTACAGAGTGCCGATTGGTGCATTTACAATCCTTTAGCTAGTCATGGAGTGCTGATTGGTGTGTTTTTACAGAGTGCTGATTGGTTCATTTACAATCCTTTAGCTAGTCACAGAGTGCTGACTGGTGCATTTACAATCCCTTAGTCATGGAGTGCTGATTGGTGCGTTTAGAATCCTCTAGCTAGACAGAAAAGTTCTCGAAGTACCCACTTGACCCAGGAAGTCCAGCTGGCTTCACCTCTTAATACACCCTCTAAACAGGACACCCCAACTGCTGTTGGGAATTGGGCAATGACCACTCTAGCTACTTCCTGCTGGATAGGGGTGAAGAAGGTACCCCACAGTTGTAGTGTCCTCCAGAGAGGAACTCTTTAGGCCAGTCAAAGGGCCAGTGGGTCAGTCCAGGGCTCCTCGGTAGAAGTTGTTAGGTGAGCTCATTTGGGATTCCATTTGTAAGACCATCTGTAGCTTGATGGCCTTGATCCTAGAGGAAACAAATTTGACAAGGAGGTTAAAAATACAGGGCCCAAAGGCGAGTAGTAGCAAGATGGCTGTCATGGGACCTAGAAAAGGGAGAAGCCACGTCACCCAACTCCACAGGTTGGTATAAGAGAAAAGCATTGCCTGATTTCAGAAGCCTTTTCCTGTAAATGCCAGGCGGTGTCTCCTACTATCCCTGACTGGTTACTGTAAAAGCAACACTCATCCCCTAAGAAGGTGCAATGTCCTCCTTTCTCAGCAGTGAGGAAGTCTAGGCCTCAGCGGTTTTGGAGAGTCATTGCTGCCAAAGGGTCTATTTGGGATTGTAGAGTAAGGATAGATTTTGTTATTTCTTGCAAACTATCTGAGAAATCCTTTGAGAGTGTGTGGTAGTAGGATAATACATGTTACACTGTTAACTTTTAGCAAACTTTACTTTTGTTGAAAACCTTGTAAGTTTGGGATTTCAATTATTCTTTGCTATTAATAAGACCTCGTTCAGTCCATATTAACTTAAAATTGGTATAGATGGCTCCTCCCTGATTCTGTAAGTACTTTAAGGCTTGGCTGAGTGCAAACAGCTTGCACGTTTGAGCAAACCAATTATTAGGCAATTTTCCTAACTGCTTCTACAAGAATTCCCTTACCACTCACTGAATACCCATTGTGTCTTTTTCCCTTAATCACCTAGGAGGAATCATCTGTCCTCCTGTCCTGAAGGGAGTTGCTCCTAGGTCCGGTCAGACCTTTGCATGGTAATCAACTAAGATCTAGATCACCTGTTAGGAAACCTGCTGTGTTAAGGATTTTGGACAGGAAGGCTACGTGTTGTCAGTGGCCTCAGTGCTTTCTGGCTCTGCCCTTGTTTACACTGACAACAAGGTGGTATTGGAGTATTATAGAATCATGGAGAAGACCTTCAATTATCAATTATAGGTTTTAAATTTACCCTGGCTTTTAAAGGAATAGGGTACACTGTTTTTTCTTTACTACTCCTGTCTTTCTCTCTCTCTTTGACTCCTGCTTTTTCTCTGTCTCTTCCTCTCTTTCCGTCTCTCTTTGACTTTCTGTCTCTGTCTCTCTCTTTGACTCCTTGTCTCTGTCTCTTCCTCTCTCTGTCTCCTTCTCTTTGACTTCCTGTCTTTCTCTTTCTCTCTTTCTCTCTCTTTTCTTTGTCGCTCTGCTGGTCTTTCCCTGCTTCTGGCAGCCGCTTATGCTGCTGTTGCCAACTCCTTGGGATTTTGCACTGTGTGCAATAACTCCATGGTTTCCTTGTGATATTTAATGGGGGTTCCCCCAGAGGTTAGGAACTTCCTTTCTTTCCACATTACAGCATGGGCATATAGGATTAGATAAGCATACTTACTATCTGTAGCAAAGTCTCCCAATTACAACTGAGGAGGTGGGAGAGATACCTGGCTACAGTCTGTCCCAGGATTCCTCGGATAGTTAATCTCCTCTCCTGTCTAGGAGAGGAGATTAACGCCGAGAAGGTGTGCCAGTGTCCAGGAGGAAGTCAATTTCCTGGCCTTCAATGCTTAAACGTATGGGGGCTCAGTGAGGGTGATGACATGAGCTGGCACTTGTCCTGGGCACCCTCAGTCCTGTTGTTGGGTCATCTGGTTGGGGGCTTCTGGCCCAGAGAACCTTTGTCCTCTGGGGCAGTATGCCTTCCAGTGATTGCCTCGGCATAGTGGACATGGGCGAGGGGGCAGCTTGTTTCTTGTTGGACAATCTTCTTTAAAGTGTCCTTGCAAACCACACAGATAACAAGCCCTACTGGGAGATTGGCCTGCTCCATTTTCTGTCCTCTCTGAACCACCAGAGTTTGTTTGTCTGAGGGCCATGACTAACGCTGTGGCCTTTCTCTGATCTGGTTTTTCCTTTTCAGCCTGTTCCTCTTGGTCCCTATTATAGAACACTGATGTTGCCAGGTTTAGTAATGCCTCCAGATTTTGTTCAGGGCTGAGGGCTAGCTTTTGGTTTCTCCTGATATCTGAGGCTGATTGGGTAATAAACTTATCTTTTGGGATCAATTGACCCTCTAGTGAGTTGGGTGATGGGGAGTATATTTCCTTAAGGCCTTCTGTAGCCACTCAAGGAAGGCAGAAGGATTTTCTTCCTTTCCTTGAGTTACGGTGGACATCATTGAATAATTCATGGGCTTTTTCCTAATTCTCTTTAGTCCTTCTAGAACACAGGTCAACAGATGTTTGCAACTCCAGTCCCCATGATCTGAGTTGAGGTCCCAGTGCAGATCCATACGGGGGACAGCTTGCTGACCAATAGGGAATTTGTCCCTTTCTTCGGCTGTCATTCTATCATTTACTTTGCTAAGATACCAGATATCTCCAAACTCTTGGGCTGCAGCTAAAGCCGCATTCTTTTCATTAAAGGCCAGGGTTTGATCTAACAATAGCGTGACAACTCTCCAAGTGAAATCAAAGGTTTTTGCCAGACCCTGTAGGACATCTATATACCTATCAGGATCATCTGAAAGCTTCCCCAGGTCTCCCTTGATCTGCTTTAAATCAGAGAGGGAGAAGGGGACATGTACTTGGGTTGGGCCAAATTCCCCTCCCCCTACAGCTGGAAGGGGACATAACCAATAGCCCGGGGGTTTTTGTGGTCCTTTGGAGATTTCTTTGCTTGTTTCCTTCTAGGCAGGGGAGATTAGAGGAGGCTTATCATTAATAGGAAGGGGAGCTATAGGGAGGCTAGGATATGGGGGTAAGCTGAGAGGTCCTCCTGTGGGATGTAAATTGCAAGCTTTGCATAGTTGTGGATTCTCCTTCAATGAAAAGAAAGTTTGGACATAAGGTATTTCACTCCGTTTGCCTTTCTGCTTACAGAAAAGGTCAAGCTGCAAGCTAGTATTGTAATTTATACTTCCCTCAGGTGGCCATTTTTTCCCATCAGAGACAGAATATTGGGGCCAGGCTATATTGCAGAAAAAAATGAGTTGCTTCTTTTTCAGGGTTTGCAGGTCAGATTGGTCCCAATGGCTTAGGATGCATTTCAAGGGTGAGCCTGTTGATGGCTGAGTGTTTCCCACATGAAAGAAAAAACTGCCTGCAGTTTTGGTTTGTTTTGTTTCTCTCCTGCCCAAGAACCTGCAACGGTCCCTGGACCCTGCTGATCAGAATAGTTGCACTCACCAACACAGCAGCAGAAACAACCCCTGCCCAAGAACCTGCAACAGTCCCTGGACCCTGCTGATCAGAATAGTTGCACTCATCAGTGCAGCAGCAGATCCCCCTCTTGCCCAAGAACCCACAACAGTCCCTGGACCCTGCTGATTGGAATAGTTGCACTCACCGATGCAGCAGCAGTAACACTAGTTTTCCTCCTAGACTGCAAGGAGGACCAAGGAAGGTCGGATTTAGTGGCCGTTACTGATGTATTCTTGAAAACCTGTTAGAGTCCTAAGCATTCTCCTGTTAGTACTGGGACCTTACTCTTGTCCTATAAAGATGTTATGTCCCAAAAATGAAGTGGAAGGCCATACCCTGAGGGAAGGAAGTGATCTTCAGGGTTGGAAGAATGATGCCTTTTGTCCTCACTTGTATAGGAAGGATATCATTTCTGAAGCTCCCCATATCCTAGCTTCAGGAATAGCTTTTGTTAGGCCTGCTTGTCTGAGGAGGAATCCTAAAATTCCAGGTAGTCCCCCACCCTGATGGGGCTTTGGGCAAAAATTATGTCTTTCTGATTGGTGAGCCCGGGTACCTAAAGAAGGGAATAGAGTCCTGGAGTTTATACTAGAAATCATTCTTATAGGAGAAATGAGAAAAGCACCAGAGACAGGGAGTGGTTTCTAGAAGCGGAACTAGCCGCTTCTAGTAGTTGGAGAAGAGAGGGGAGAGGAAGTTTGTCTGACAGGCATTAGGACCCAGGGGCAATCAGGACAGATGGGCGAGTCTTGCTTGGGCAATGTGACTTTGAGAGTTCCACTTATGGCCGCAGGATCTACCGAGTTGTTGTCGGGACCCCGGAGCTGAATTGCTTTCCTTTCTGTTGACCCTCATCTCAGCCCAGAAATACAGGAAAAGCAGAAGCTGGTTCCAGGCAAACCAATGCTCCCAACTCCAAAGAGTCAGGGTTGTTAGAGAGCCCTTTCCCAGAAAGCCTGACACCCATGTCTTTAGTCTGGTGGCTGTGCTAGTCACTTTTAACTGGCCAAAAGGTGCCCAGTGTTTAGCCCCCGAATTCTAAGGAAAAGTAGGGCAGAATAGCGAGTGAAAGGGGTCCAATGGTACTCACTGCTTGGTGATAGGTGATAGTCCCTTCGTGGTTGCCAAAATGTGTCTGGAATTTATTCCTTCCGGTGGGTTCTTCGTCTCGCTGACTTCAAGAATGAAGCTGCAGATCTTCATGGTGAGAGTTACAGCTCTTAAACATGGTGTGTCCAGAGTTTGTTCCTTCAGATGTTCAGATGTGTCTGCGGTTTCTTCCTTCTGGTGGGTTCATGGTCTCACTGACTTCAGGAATGAAGCCGTGGACCTTCACAGTGAGTGTTACAGCTCTTAAAGGTGGTGCCGACCCAAAGAGTGAGCAGCAGCAAGATATACTGTGAAGAGCTAAAGAACAAAGCTTCCACAGCATGCAAGGGGACCCAAGCAGGTTGCTGCTGCTGGCTGGGGTGGCCAGCATTTATTCTGTTATTTGTCCCCGCCCACATCCTGCTGTTGGGTCCATTTTACAAAGTGCTGATTGGTCCATTTTACAATCCTTTAGCTAGACACAGCGCTGACTGGTGCATTTTTACAGAGTGCTGATTGGTGCATTTACAATCCTTTAGCTAGACACAGAGTGCTGATTGGTGTTTTTACAATACTCTAGGTAGATAGAAAAGTTCTCCAAGTCCCCACTCAACCCAGGAAGTCCAGCTGGCTTCACCTCTCATATGTGCCTATTTTTGAACTCTCTAGACTCTTGTTTTTATTTTCTACTTATTTATCTAGTCCTGTAGCAATATACATGGTATTATTATCATACATTAATAGATGCTTTGGCATTTCAATAGAAAAACAACTCCCATATCTTTGTTCTTATTTTTCTAAATTATTCTTACGGTTCTTGAATATATTTTTCATATACATTTCAGGATTAACTTGGTAAGATACAAAAATATTCAACATGGACTGGGCATGGTGACTCATGCCTGTAATCCCAGCATTTTGGGAGGCCAAGGCGGGTGGATCACTTGAGGTCAGGAGTTTGAGACCAGCCTGACCAACATGGAGAAGCCCCGTCTCTGCTAAAAATACAAAATTAGCCGGATGTGGTGACACGTGCCTGTAATCCCACCTACTTGGGAGGCTGAAGCAGGAGAATCACTTGAACCCAGGAAGCAGAGTTTGCGGTGAGCCATGATCATGCCTCTGCACTCCAGCCTGGGCAACAACAGTGAAACTCTGTCTCAAAAAAAAAAAGATTTGTTCTCTGCAAATTTAAAGTATAAAACACATTATTATTAACTATAGTCACCGTGCTATAAATTAGCTCTCCAGAACTTACTCATTTTACAAATGGTAGTCTACAACTGTTTATGAACATCTGCTCATTTCCCCAACACCTGACTTCTGGTAAACACCTTATACTCTCTGTTTCTGTGGGTTTGAGGTGTTTTTTTTGGATTCCAAATACAAGTGAGATAATGCAATATTTGTCTTTCTGTATCTTGCTTATTTCACTTAGCATAACATTCTCCTGGCTTATCTGTGTTGTTGCAACTGGCAGAATTTTCTCCCCTTTTTATAGCTGAATAATATGCTATGTATGCATGATACATATTTTTTACATTTTCTCTATCCATTTATATGCCAGTGGACAAAAGTTGACTTCATATCTAGGCTACTATGAATAATACTGCAATAAACAAGAGAATGAAGATTTCTCTTCGACATACTTATCATTTCATTTTGATATATACCCAGTAGTAGGAGCGCTGGATCATATGGTGGTTTTTAATTTTTTGAGGAACCTTTATATTGTTCTTCCATAATGGATGTACCAATAGCCACTTCCAATCCACAATATAGAAGGATTTCCTTTTCTCCACATCCTTGACAACACTTGCTATCTTTTGACTTTCTGATAGTAACCGTCATAACAGATGCACAGTGATGTCTCATTGTGAGTTATGTTGGCATTTTCCTGATGATTAGTGATGTCGACCACCTGTTTATTGCCCTGTTAACTATTCATATGTTGTCTTTGAAAAAATATCTCTTCAGGTCCTTTGCACATTTTTTAATCAGGTTATGGGTTTTTTTTTTAGCTATTGAGTTTTTTGGCTATGTATTTTGCATATCAACTCCTTATCAGGTATATAATTTGCAAATATTTTCTCCTATTCTATAGGTTGCCTTTTCATTTTTTTAAATTATTTGCTCTACAGAATCATTTTAGTTTCATATAGTCCTACTGTTTATTGTAGCTTTTGCTGCTTATGCTTTTGGTGTCATATTCAAAAAGTCATTGCCAAGAACAATTTTATGTAGTATTTCCTCTATGTTTTCTTCTAAGAGTTTTAAAGTTTCAGGTCTTGTTCTTACCTCATACCACTTACAAAAATTAACTCAAAATGGATTAAAGACTTAAGGGTAAGATTTGAAACTGTAAAACTACTAGAACAAAACATAGGGGCAAAGCTCCATCAGATAAATCTTGGAAAATTATTTTTTGTGAATCTCAAAGCATAGGGAACAAAAGTGAAAACAAACAAAGGGGTTGCATCACACTAAAAGGTTTCTGCACAGCAAAGGAAACAATCACCAGAGTTAAGAAGCAAGTTACAGAATAGAAAAAAATGTTTGTAAGCCATACATCTGATAAAGAGTTAATATCCAAAATATATAAGAAACCCAGACAACTCAGTGATAAGAAAACAACCTAATTAAAAGAAATGGGCAAAGCACCTAATAGATATTTCTCAAAAGAAAACACAAATGGCCAACTGGTATATGAAAAAATGCTCAACATCACTAATTATCAGGGAAATGCAAATGAAAAAAACAATGAGATAGCACTTCGCACCTGTTGAAATGGCTATCATTAAACAGATAAAAGGTAACACGTGTTGTTGATGTGGAGAAATGTAAATCCTTTTACACTGTTCTTGGGAATGAAAATTGGTACAGCCATCATGGAAAATGGTATGAGGTTTTTCAAAAAAAATTAAAAATAACACTACCACAGGATCTGGAAATCCCACTAATGTGTATTAACCTAGAGAAACTTAAATTACTATGTTAGAGGGTTTTGCATTCTTATGTTCATTGCAGCGAAAAGTTAAGATAAGTAATCAACCCAAGTATTCATTAGTGAATAAATGGATGAAGAAAATGTGGTACATATACACAATAGAAAAATTATAGCCTTAAAAAAGAAGGAAATTATGTCATTTACAACATGCATGAGCCTGTAGGACATTATTTTAATTAAAATGATTCAGGCACAGAAAGACAAATATGGCATGATCTCACTTATATGTGGAACCTAAAATCTTAAACTGGGAAACAGAGTATAATGGTTGTTCCCAGGGGTAGACTGTGGTATTAGGGAGATTAGTGAAAAAAACCCAGAAAATTTTAGTTAGATAGGAGGAATAAGTTTAAGAGATATGTAATGCTTTAATATTTTTTAATCTTATCCATTTTATTTCAACATGGCAACTATATTTAATAACAATGTATTCTTGATAGTCACAAACAGAGTATATTTTAAATGATCTTACTGAAAAAAGAAATATGTGAGGTGATACCTATGTAATTAACTAAATCCAGCAATTCCACAATGTATACATATTTCAAAACATAATGTCCACAATAAATGTATAGAATTTTTATTAAATATAATTCTCAGTTCTTAGATTCAATTCTTCAGTCCATTTGTAGTTAATTTTTTATGGTGCAAGATAAGGATCTAATTCTATATTTTTTGGCATTTGGATATCCAGTTTTCCTAAAACCATTTATTGAAGAAATTATTATTTCTCCATTATGTATTTGTGGCAGCTTTATCAAAGATTAGTTTGCCAATATGGGGGGCTTATTTATTGGCTTTCTATTGTGTTCCGTTGGTCTGTGTGTCCATTTTTATGCCAATACCATACTGATTTGATTACTATAGCTTTGTAATATAGTTTGAAATCAGAAAGCCATATTTCTCCAGCTTGGTTCTTCTTACTCAAGATTGCTTTAGTTATTTAGGGCTTCAGTTATTTAGTTATTCTGGTTCCATATAAATTTTAGGATTGATTTTTCTATTTCTGAGAAAACTATCATTGGAATTTTGATAGGAATTGCATTCAATATGTAGACTGCTTTAGGTAATATGGCTATTTTGATAATATTAATTCCTTTAATCCATGAACACAGAATATATTTCCACTTATTTATGCCATCTTTAATTTCTAAAATTAATGTTTTATAGGTTTCTGTTTATAAATTTTTCACCTCCTTGGGTAAATATATTTTCAAATATTTTATTTTATTTTTTCATAGCTGTTGTAAATGGAATTGTTTACTTAGTTTCTTTTTTTATTGTTCATTAATAGCATATAGATATGTAACTGATTTTTACGTGTTTATTTTGTATTCTGCTACCTTAATGAATTAGTTAATTAGTTCCAAGAGATTTTTTGGTGGAGTTTTCGGGGATTTCAATATAGCAGATCATGTCATCTGCAAACAGAGACAATTTAACTTTTCCTTTCAGATATGGATGCCTTTTACTTATTTCTCTTGCCTAATTGCTCTGACTAGCACTACAAGTCATATGTCGAATAGAAGTGCCAAGAGTTGCCCTCCTTGCCTTGTTCCCGATCACTGCCGAGTACATTAGCTATGGGTTTGACTCATATAACTTTTATTGGATTGGGATACATTTCTTTTATAGCTAATTTTTGAAAGTTTTTTCTTTTATGAAAGAATGTTGATTTTTTCAAACGCTTTTTCTGATCTAATGAGATGACTATATGATTATTCTTCTTCATTTTTGTTTGTTTTTTGAGACGGGGTCTCACTTTGTTGCCCAGGCTGCAGTGCAGTGTCCTCCCACTTCAGTCTCCTGAGTAGCTGGGATTACAGATGTAAGCCACTGTGCTCAGGTTATTCTTCTTTCTGTTTATGTGGTATAACACATTTATTGATTTATGTTGAACCATCCTTGCATTTCAGAGATAAATCACACTTAACTGTGGTAAATGATCCCTTTTCACATGCTTTGAATTTGGTTTGCTAGTATTTTGTTGGTTATTTTTGCATTTATGTTCATCTGGGATATTGGCTTATAGCTCTTTTTTTTCTTATAGTGTCTTTGTCTGGCTTTAGAATTAGGGTAATGCTGGTGTTATAAAATGAGTTTGAAAGTATTTTTTGCTTAAGTTTTTGGAAGACTTTCAAAAGATTTGTGTTTATTTTTAAAATTTTTGGTCTGAGCTCTTCTTTGTTGGAATGTTTTTGATTAGTGGTTCAATATCCTTAATCATTATTTGTCTATTCAGATGATCAATTTCTTCATGTTTCAGTCTTGGTAAGTTGTTTGTATCTAGGAGTTTATTTATTTATTTTAGGTTATACAATTTTTTGGTGTATAATTGTTTATAATAATTTCTTATGATCCTTTGTATTTCTATGGTACTGTGGTAATATCTCATCTTTCATTTCTGATTTTATTTATTTGAATCTTCTCTATTTTTTCTTAGCTGATCCATTTGATTTCAAAAAATACTTAATTTTATCTCTTTTGTTGTTTTCCTAGTCTCTGCTTCATTTACTTCTGCTTTAACTTTTGTTATTTCCTTTTTTTCTGCTAACATTAAGCTTAGTTTTTTTTCCTTTTCTAGTTCCTTGAGGTATGAACATAGGTTATTTATTTCAGGGGTCCCAAACACCTGGGCCACGGACCAGCATTAGAGTCTCATAGGAGGGGCAAACTCTGTTGTGAACTCTGCATGCAAGGGATCTAGGTTGCACACTCCTATGAGAATCTAATGCCTGAGGTGGAACAGTTTCATCCCAAAACCATCCCTGCAGATCGTGGAATAACTGTCTTTCATGAAACTGGTCCCTGGTGCTAAAAGGGTTGGAGACTGCTGGTTTATTTGAGGTCTTATTTTTCTTAATGTAGGTGTTTATTGCTAGAACTTTCCTCCTATAATTGCTTTTGCTGCATACCATAAGTTTAGGTATTATGTGTTTCCATTTTCATTTGCCTCAGAATATTCTGTAATTTCCCTTTTGATTTTCTTCTTGGCCTGTTGATTGTTTAGAAGTATGTTGCTTAATTTTCACATATTTATGATTTTTTCAACTTTCTTCCTGTTACTGATTTTTACTTTTATTTGTTGTGATTGGAAAAAATACCTGATATGTTTTCAATATTCTTAAATTTGCTGAAACTACTTTTGTGGCCTAACATAAAACCCATCCATGAGAATGTTCTATGTGTGCTTGAGAAGAATGTATATTCTGCTGCTGTTGGATGGATTGTTCTATATATGTTTTTTAGGTCCATTTGATTTAAAGTGTTGTTTAAGCCCAATGTTTTCTTACTGATTTTTGTTTTTAATGAAACTATCAAATTAGCTAGTAGCTACTGTTCCCAGCAGCCATCACAGGCCTGGATAAAAAAGCACCACTTGAGAACCCACCTGCATGAGTCCCTTCAAATATTCTAAATTTAATTATATATTTACCTTTATCAGTGAGTTTTTTTCTCATATATTTTCTTTCTTTTTTTTCTTTTTTTTCTTTTTTTTTTTTTGAGACAGAGTTTTGCTCTTGTTGCCCAGACTGGAGTGCAATGGCATGATCGCAGCTCACTGCAACCTCTGCCTCCTGAATTCAAGCGATTCTCCTGCCTCAGCCTCCTGAGTAGCTGGGATTACAAGTGTGTGCCACCAAGCCTGTCTAATTTTTGTATTTTTAGTGGAGACGGGGTTTCACCACATTGGCCAGGCTAGTCTCAAACTCCTGACCTCAGGTGATCCACCCACCTCGGCTTCCCAAAGTACTGGGATTACAGGCATGAGCCACCATGCCTGGCTCATCATATATCTTCATGTATAATCAGTGTCCTTTGGTTTCTACCTGAAGAATTGTCTTCATTATTTCTTGTAAGGTAGATCTGGTAGTGATGAATTGCCTCATCTTTTGTTTGCCTTGGAATATTTTTTCTCCTTCATTTCTGAAAAACAGCTTTGCTGGGTATAATGCTTTTGCCTGACAGTTTTGTTTTTTGTGTTCTTGGTTTTATAGAACATTGAATGTAGCATTTCATTTTCTCCTGGCCTGCAAAGTTTTTGTTGCATGGGTTTACTTTTTTTTTTTTTTTTTTTTTTTTTGAGAGACAGAGTCTTGCTCTGTAGCCCAGGCTAGAGTACAGTGGAGTGCAGTGGCATGATCTCACTCACTGCTACCTCCGCCTCCCAGATCCTGGTTCAAGCAAATCTTCTGCCTCAGCCTCCCAAGTAGCTGGGATTACAGGCACGCACCACTATGCCCAGCTAATTTTTGTATTTTTAGTAGAGAAGGGGTTTCACCATGTTGGCCAGGCTGGTGAACTCCTGACCTCGTGATCCACCCGCCTTGGCCTCCCAAAATGCTGAGATTACAGGCATAAGCCACCGCGCCTGGCAACATGGGTTCACTTTTATGTGATGAATCACTGTTGAATCGCCGCTCTCAAAATTCTCTTTGACTTTGAATTTGATAATTTGATTATAATGTGTCTTAGTGAAAGCCACTTTTAGTTTGATCATTTAGAAACTTATAAGCTTTATATAACTATATGTTCATATCTCTTCTCATATTTGGAAAGTTTCTTATTTATTAGTTTACATAAACTTTCTTGCCCTTTGATGTTCTCTGTTCCTTCTGAGATTCACATAATGCACATATTGGTTTGCTTGATGATATCTCATCATTCCTGCATGCTTGCTTCACTGCTTTTAGTCTCTTTTGGTTCCTCTCACTGGTTTATTTCACATGCTCTGTCTCTGATGTTATTCTTTCTTTTGCTTGGTCAAATCTAATGTTGAAGCTGTCTATTAAATTTTCTGTTGAAACATTGTATTATTTATCTATATAATATATGTTTCGTGTTTTCTTATGGTTTCTATCTCTTTGTTGAGCATCTCTTTTTATCTCCTTTTTTTCTGATATATTTAGTTGTCTATATGAGTTTCCTTAAGACTACTATTTTAAATTCACTTTCAGGCAATTTGTAGACCTCCACCTACTTGAAACCAACCACTGGAGCTTTATCTTGTTCATTTGTTGGTGTAATATATTCTTGATACTTCATGTTCCTTTCATTGCTGTCTTTGTATTTGAAAAAGCAGTCACATCCTCCAGTTTTTACTGACTGGCTTTGAGAGAGAAAGGTCTTCACTAGTGAGACCAGCAAGAGATTCTTGACATCTCTTAGATCTTTTCTATGGTTACACCCATTCTACTCTTCTTGTTTTCTTCTAGGGGAAAGTTTTAGGATTGTGCGGCTCTCTAGAACACACAAAATTAGGCCCAGTGCTGTCAGTCTTCCATTTATTTTTCCTGAATCAGTGCCCTGAAATGTTTAAGGTTGTGAATCTTCTCCTCTCTGCTCCTGATATTTATATGCTATCTGTGGAACTTCATATAAGTTATATATAGGAATATGTGGAAAACTGTCCACTGTAGGTGACACCTCTTGGTGTCTGTGACCCAGTTAGCAGAATCTGTGGCCTGCTGTTTACAACTGCACACTGCCTGCTGTGTACTCCCACCCATTCTCTCTCTTCCTATCATCAGGAAATTGCCATACCTGAGACATTCAGCTTTGCTGATTCTCTCAGTGTTCCATGTGAGGGAAGAGACAGAAGTGGGCCTCCTGGATGGTTTCCCAAAAGACTGGGTGAGCTGGGCGCTCATTTTGCACTCACCTTTCCCTGTGGGAGAAATTGCAGGCCAAAGGGGCCTCTCTCAGCATCAAACTGTACCACTTTGGGGGAGGAGTAATGTGAGTAAAATGAAACTGCTCTGTTAACTAATACCTTTTTTATGTATTTAATCAGATTTTTGGTGCCACTGTGGTGCTTAAAACCTCTAAGCTAGACCCCGGAATCCACAAAGTTATTCTTCTCAATGGCTGGTTGTCAAAATTGATGTTTCCTTTAGTGTATGAGGCTAAAACCTCCTATTCAACCTTACTGCCCGTTTCCCATAAACTGGACATTTTAGATAATTCATTAAAGCAACTCCATACTGTAAATTGTTTTTTCGGTTTTTTTTTTTTTTTTTTTTTTTTAAGTAATTTGCCTGGACTTAAACTGCAAAATCTTCCTCCTCTCAAAAAACGATAGCCCCTGCTATTTACTATTATTGTTATTGTTTTTTATTTTTATCTCTTAGGCCAACTTTTGAAGCAGCACCCAATGTGTCATATTACTTAGTTGTCAGCTAATGCTTTGAGCGGAAGTTTTGTTCAAGCTCATCAAACCTGAGAGGCTTCTAACTAATGCTGATTGATCTATCCGTGGGTTGAGAAACATATTCAAAATTCATCCAGTTCTTTAAAACTTATTTGACTTCAGTGTCACTGTTCTCTTCAGTGTCTTCCCTTTGCAGCAGTATAGTTTTCAAAAAACCAGAGATGTCTTAGAGGTTATTTAATTCAGTATGTATTCGTTTTTTAAGGCTACCATAGAAAAATAACACACTGAGTGGCTTAAAGATCAAACATGTATTTTCTCATAGTTCTGGGGGCTAGAAGTCCAAAGTCAAAGTATTGTTATGTTTGTTTGTTTATTGTCTCCTGAGGCCTTTCTCCTTGGCTTGCAGATGGCTGCCTTCTTACTGTGTGCTCACATGGCCCTTTCTCTGTGTGAATACATCCTCTATATCTCTCCTTCCTTTATATGGACATCAGTCTTATTGGATCATGGCCCACCTATATGACCTTATTTAACTGTGATCATCTCTTTAAAGACCTTATGTTCAAATGCAATCACATTCTGAGATGTATTAAAAGTCAGGACTTTAAAATATAAATTTTGGGAGGATACAATTCAATCTGATACACTATGACTCTTCCTTTTTTCCAGGATCTCTGTCTGTTCCTGGTTGGTCCACTATTTATCCTAATCAAGGTCATAACTCTGAATACTAGAAGCAAGGTGTTTTCCCCATATACTTTCTACCACTTTTAGTTGACTAAACCTTGGGCTTTTGCCTGCAACCCTCATGCCAAATTGAATCTGCACACTCTGGCAGCACAGCTGCTTGCTTTTGCAGCCAAATCTGCTCTTGGTAAAACTGTAGTTCTTCACAATTTGGTGTGAGGATCAAGAATAGTAACAGGCCCCAGCAATGAATGAGCAGATTCCCATTTTCTCTTACCCAAAGAATTATCAGTTTATTTTAAAATACTTCTACGTTTATTGTATGCCTTTCATTAATTTCTAGAAACTTGAAATTTTTGTTATCAGAAATTCTGTTCCATTTTACACTTTTGTTTTCTTTTATGTGTATGTTTTTCTCTCCTTCCCCACCCCCAATTTTTTGTGTGTGATAGGATTTGCCAACTTCTTTATTCCTTCACATATGGGAATTAAACCTCTTCTGAGTTTTGCTTTTGCTCTAACAAATTCCTCTTGGGTTTAATTTTCTCTTTACAAGAATACATCTTTTCTAGTTCTTTTAATTGTGATGTTAGGGTGTCAGTTTTGGATCTTTCTTACAAGGGATGTGAAGGACCTCTTCAAGGAGAACTACAAACCACAGCTCAAGGAAATAAAAGAGGATACAAACAAATGGAAGAACATTCAATTAGGAAAAGAGGAAGTCAAATTGTCCCTGTTTGCAGACGACATGATTGTATATCTAGAAAACCCCATTGTCTCAGCCCAAAATCTTCTTAAGCTGATAAGCAACTTCAGCAAAGTCTCAGGATACAAAATCAATGTACCAAAATCACAAGCATTCTTATACACCAATAACAGACAAACAGAGAGCCAAATCATGAGTGAACTCCCATTCACAATTGCTTCAAAGGGAATAAAATACCTAGGAATCCAACTTACAAGGGATGTGAAGGACCTCTTCAAGGAGAACTACAAACCACTGCTCAAGGAAATAAAAGAGGATACAAACAAATGGAAGAACATTCCATGCTCATGGGTAGGAAGAATCAATATCGTGAAAATGGCCATACTGCCCAAGGTAATTTACAGATTCAATGCCATCCCCATCAAGCTACCAATGACTTTCTTCACAGAATTGGAAAAAACTACTTTAAAGTTCATATGGAACCAAAAAAGAGCCCGCACTGCCAAGTCAATCCTAAGCCAAAAGAGCAAAGCTGGAGGAATCACACTACCTGACTTCAAACTATACTACAAGGCTACAGTAACCAAAACAGCATGGTACTGGTACCAAAACAGAGATATACATCAATGGAACAGAACAGAGTCCTCAGAAATAACGCCGCATACCTACAACTATCTGATCTTTGACAAACCTGAGAAAAACAAGCAATGGGGAAAGGATTCCCTATTTAATAAATGGTGCTGTGAAAACTGGCTAGCCATATGTAGGAAGCTGAAACTGGATCCCTTCCTTACACCTAATACAAAAATCAATTCAAGATGGATTAAAGATTTAAATGTTAGACCTAAAACCATAAAAACCCTAGAAGAAAACCTAGGCATTACCATTCAGGACATAGGCATGGGCAAGGCCTTCATGTCCAAAACACCAAAAGCAATGGCAACAAAAGCCAAAATTGACAAATGGGATCTAATAAAACTAAAGAGCTTCTGCACAGCAAAAGAAACTACCATCAGAGTGAACAGGCAACCTACAAAATGGGAGAAAATTTTCGCAACCTACTCATCTGACAAAGGGTTAATATCCAGAATCTACAGTGAACTCAAACAAATTTACAAGAAAAAAACAAACAACCCCATCAAAAAGTGGGTGAAGGACATGAACAGACACTTCTCAAAAGAAGACATTTATGCAGCCAAAAAACACATGAAAAAATGCTCATCATCACTGGCCATCAGAGAAATGCAAATCAAAACCACTATGAGATACCATCTCACACCAGTTAGAATGGCAATCATTAAAAAGTCAGGAAAGAACAGGTGCTGAAGAGGATGTGGAGAAATAGGAACACTTTTACACTGTTGGTGGGACTGTAAACTAGTTCAACCATCGTGGAAGTCAGTGTGGTGATTCCTCAGGGATCTAGAACTAGAATTACCATTTGACCCAGCCTTCCCATTACTGGCTATATACCCAAAGGACTATAAATCATGCTGCTATAAAGACACATGCACACGTATGTTTATTGCGGCATTATTCACAATAGCAAAGACTTGGAACCAACCCAAATGTCCAACAATGATAGACTGGATTAAGAAAATGTGGCACATATACACCATGGAATACTATGCAGCCATAAAAAATGATGAGTTCATGTCCTTTGTAGGGACATGGATGAAATTGGAAATCATCATTCTCAGTAAACTATCGCAAGATCAAAAAACCAAACACAGCATATTCTCACTCATAGGTGGGAACTGAACAATGAGATCACATGGACACAGGAAGGGGAATATCACACTCTGGGGACTGTGGTGAGGTGGGGCAAGCGGGGAGGGATAGCATTGGGAGATATACCTAATGCTAGATGACGAGTTAGTGGGTGCGGCGCACCAGCATGGCACATGTATACATATGTAACTAACCTGCACAATGTGCACATGTACCCTAAAACTTAAAGTATAATAAAAAAAAAAAGAAGACATTTATGCAGCCAAAAAACACATGAAAAAATGCTCATCATCACTGGCCATCAGAGAAATGCAAATCAAAACCACAATGAGATACCATCTCACACCAGTTAGAATGGCAATCATTAAAAAGTCAGGAAACAACAGGTGCTGGAGAGGATGTGGAGAAATAGGAACACTTTTACACTGTTGGTGGGACTGTAAACTAGTTCAACCATTGTGAAAGTTAGTGTGGCGATTCCTCAGGGATCTAGAACTAGAAATACCATTTGACCCACCCATCCCATTACTGGGTATATACCCAAATGACTATAAATCATGCTGCTATAAAGACACATGCACACGTGTGTTTATTGCGGCATTATTCACAATAGCAAAGACTTGGAACCAACCCAAATGTCCAACAATGATAGACTGGATTAAGCAAATGTGGCACATATACACCATGGAATACTATGCAGCCATAAAAAATGTTGAGTTCATGTCCTTTGTAGGGACGTGGGTGAAATTGGAAATCATCATTCTCAGTAAACTATCGCAAGAACAAAAAACCAAACACCGCATATTCTCACTCATAGGTGGGAATTGAACAATGAGATCACATGGACACAGGAAGGGGAATATCACACTCTGGGGACTGTGGTGGGGTTGGGGGAGGGTGGAGGGATAGCATTGGGAGATATACCTAATGCTAGATGACGAGTTAGTGGGTGCAGCGCACCAGCATGTCACATGTATACATATGTAACTAACCTGCACATTGTGCACATGTACCCTAAAACTTAAAGTATAATAATAAAAAAAAGAATACATCTTTTAGTTCTGATCTAGGAGGTTTCTGTTAACAAATTTTCTGAGTTCTTGTAGATCTTAAAATGTCTTCATTCAATAAATTTTGACTGGATACAGAATTTAAGACTAAACATTATTTTTTCTCTAGATATGAAAACTTTTTAATAATATATATAAAGACTTATTATATTTATTCCCACACCTAGCTTTTTATTCATTAAACTATTTAGAAATTGTACTCACTCAAAAATATTTAAGACATTGTCATCTGTGTGTGTGTGTGTGTGTGTGTGTGTGTGTGTGTGTGTGTGTATATATATATATTTTTTTTTTTTTTTTTTTTTTTTTTTTGAGACGGAATTTTGCTCTTGTTTCCCAGCTGGAGTGCAATGGCACAATCTTGGCTCACTGCAACCTCCACTTCCCGGGTTCAAGTGATTCTCCTGCCTCAGCCTCCCAAATAGCTGCGATTGAAGGCATGCACCACCCCACCTGGCTAATTTTGTATTTTTAGTAGAGATGGGGTTTCTCCATGTTGGGCAGGCTGGTCTCGAACTCCCGACCTCAGGTGATCCTCCTGCCTTGGCCTCCCAAAGTGCTGGGATTACAGGTGTGAGCCACCTCGCCTGGCTGTTCTATATATTTTTAAATGTTCTTAAGTTTCAATAAAAAATATATATGTATGTGCTATTTTTGATGCATGTGAACCTAAAGGATATTTCAATCTTCTTATGGAATCTCTTGACCTAGCCCACTTGTTTCCTGTGAAGCACCTACACATAGCAGATATTCTGTGGAGAAAACTGCTCATGCTAATGATTTCTATTTACGCTTTCTAGACCAAATCCTCTCCCAAGTCTGAAGAGACAAAAGACAGTGTCCTTAAGGAAAAGAGACTTGCAATAAAAAGCTTATCTCAGGACAGTCCTTTTTTTCATTAAATTTACTTCTTTTCCTCATTTTTTTCACAGCTCTCTAATGCCTTTAAAGATACAATTTTTTTTTAAGATAGCCTGCTAGGATTTGCTGTATATTTCTCAGAAATAGAATTTGTCTACCAGTTTTTATTTATTATTATTGAGTATTAATTTTTTATTTTACCTGCATATATTAGCAATTATGTGATCATAGTATCACGAAAGGTGACATAATCTATGTTAAATATTTTTGCTTTGTCTGTTTTTAAAAAACTCTCCAAACTGACTATTCAACCCTTTTAAGCCTTTGAAATTACCATTTGTTGAAGTATTTTCCAAGTAACAATGTTCTCTGA
The DNA here is from genome assembly GCF_000001405.40 of Homo sapiens. NCBI lineage: Eukaryota > Metazoa > Chordata > Mammalia > Primates > Hominidae > Homo > Homo sapiens. The sequence goes on from NC_000011.10 coordinate 98,439,085, forward strand.
ACCAAATAATAATCTGGTTATTTTGTTTTTTTGGTTCTTTTTTTTGAGTTCATAAGTAGGCATATATATTTATGGGTTATATGAGATACTTTAATACAGGCATCAGTGTATAATAATTATATCAGGGTAAATGGGGTATCCATCACCTCAAGCAACTATCATTTCTTTGTGTTATGAGCATTTCAATTATACTTTTAATTATTTTTAACCCTGTAATAAATCATTGTTGACTGTGGTCACCCTGTTGTGCTATCAAGTGCTAGATCTTATTCATTCTATCTAATTATATTCTTGTACACATTAATCATCACCACCTCCTGCCCCCTTCCCACTAGCCTTCTCACTATCCTTTTTTAATTCTCTATGGCCTTGAATTCAAATGTTTTAATTTTTAGTTCCTGTACATGACTGAGAACATGCAAAGTTTCTCTTTCAGTGCCTGGCTTATTTCGCTTAAGACAGGGTGCTCCATGTCTGTCTGTGTTGTAAATGACAGGATCTCATTTTTATTTTTATTTTTTGGCTGCATAGAACTCTGCTGGGTATATATACCATATTTTATTTATATTAATACGTGCATCTGTTGATGGACACTTAGGTTTATTCCAAATATTGGTTTCCATGAATAGTTCTGCAGTAAACATGGGAGTACAGCAAAGGATATACTGAATTTCTTTCTTCTGGATATATACCTAGCAGTAGGCTGCTGGATTGTATGTGTTTTATTTTTAGTTTTCTGAGAAACTTCCATAATCTTCTCCATAGTGGCTGTAGTAATTTACATTCCCACCAACAGTGTATGAGGGCTCCCTTTTCTCCACACTCTAACCAACATTCATTATTGCCTATCTTTAGGATAAGAGCCATTTTAACTGTAGTTCTCATTGTAGTTTCAATTTGCATTTCTCTGAGGATGAGTAATATTGACCACCTTTTCATATGTCTGGTTGCTATTTGTATGTCTTTTTTCAGAAATGCCTATAAATTTGCCTTTTTTTTTTTTTTTTTTTTTTTCAGAGGGAGTCTCTCTCTCTGTCACCAGGCTGGAGTCAGTGACATGATGTCAGCTCACTGCAACCTCTGCCTCCTGGGTTCAAGTGATTCCCCTGCCTCAGCCTCCTGAGTAGCTGGGACTACAGGTGTGCACCACCATGCCCAGCTGAGTTTTGTATTTTTACTAGAGACGGAGTTTCACCATGTTGGCCAGGATGCTCTCAATCTCCTGACTTCATGATCTGCTTGCCTCGGCCTCCCAAAGTGCTGGTATTACAGGCATGAGCCACAGCACCCAGCCTCATTTACCTATTTCTTAGTCAGATTATTAGATGTTTCCCTATTGAGTTGAGTTCCTTATATATTCTGCTTATTAATCTCTTGTCAGATAGATAGTTTGCAAATATTTTCTTCCATTCCATGGGTTGTCTCTTCACTTTGTTAATTGCTTCCTTTTCTGTGCAGAGCTTTTTAATTTTACATGATGTTATTTGTCCATTTTCATTTGGTTGTCTGTGCTTTTGAGGTGTTACTCAAGAAACCTGTGCCCAGACCAGTACCCTGAAGAGTTTCCTTGATGTTTACTTGCAGTAGTTTCATAGTTTGAGGTCTTAGATTTATGTCTTCAATCCACTTTGATTTGATTTTTGTATGTGGTGAGAGATAGGGGCCTAGTTTTTTTCTTCCACATATGTATACCCAATTTTCCCAGCACCATTTATTGAAGAGACTGTTTGCCAGTGTATACTTTTGGCACCTTTATTGAAAATGAGTTCACTGTAGATGCATGGATTTATTTCTGAGTTCACTATTCTATTGTATGTATCTGTTTCTATGCCAGTACAATGCTGTTTTGTTTACTATAGCTCTGTAATATAAAGGCAAGAAATGTAATTTCTCCAGTTTTGTTCATTTTATTCAGAACAGCTTCAGCTATTCCAAGTCTTTTTTAGTTTCATAGTAATTTTAGGATTTTTTTTCTATTTCTTTGAAGAATGTTATCAGTATTTTTATAGAGAGTGCATTGAATCTGTCAATTGCTTTCAGTAGAATGGGCATTTTAATAATATTGAGTCTTCCAATTGATGAACATGAAATATTTTTCCACTTTTTGTGTCCTTTTCAATTTTTTGAATTTATGTTTTTTAGTTTTTATTGTAGGGATCTTTCACTTCTTTGATTAAGTTTATTCCTTGGCCTTTCACTTTAACTGTAGCTGTTGTAAATGGGATTACTTTCTTGACTTTTTAAGATCGTTTGCTGTTGGCATATAGAAATACTACTGATTTTTGTATATTGATTTTTTATTCCACTTTACTAAATTTATCAGTTCTAATGGTGTTTTAGTGGAGTCGTTAGATGTTTCCAGATATAAAATAATATTATCTGCAAATAGGATAATTTGGCTTCCTTTTCAATTTGGACAACGTTTGTTTATTTCTCTTGTCTCATTGCTTTACCTAGGACTTCCAGCACTATGTTGAATAATGATGGAAAAGTGGGCATCCTTTTTTGTTCTAGATCTTGGAAGAGGCTTTCATCAGTTTTTCCACAGTCAGTATGATACTAGCTCTGGGTCTGTCATATATGGCTTTTATGTTGTTGAGGTATGTTCCTTCTATACCCAGTTTTTTGAGGGTTTTTATTACGAACAGATGTTAAATTTTACCAAATGGTTCTTCAGCATCAATTGAAATGATCACATAATTTTTGTCCTTCATTCTTTTGATATGATGTATCACATTGATTGATTTGTGGAACCATCCTTGCATCCCTGGGATGAATCCCATTTGGTCATGATTAATGATTTTTTTAATGTGTTGATGAATTCAGTTTGCTAGGTTTTTGTTGAAGATTTTTACCACAATCTTCCTCAGAAATATTAGCCTGTAGTTTTGTTTTTTTTGTATGTCTTTGTCTGATTTTGGCTTCATAGAATGACTTTGGAAATATTCGCTCCTCCTCTGTTTGTTGGAATAGTTTGAATAGGATGGATATATATTTTTGTTACTGTTTGGTAGCATGGAAGCCATCAAATTCTGGCTATTTTTGTTGGGAGCCTTTTTATTATAATCTTCAATCACTTTGCTTGTTATTGGTCCATTCAGGTTTTAGATTTCTTAATGGTTCAATATTGGTAGGTTGTATGTATCATGGAATTCATTCATTTCTTATAGGTTTTTCAATTTATTGGCATATAATTGCTCATAGTAGTCTCTAATATTCCTTTGAATTTCTGTAATATAAATTGTCATGTCTCTTTTTTCACTTCTGATTATATGTATTTAGGTCTTCTCTCTTTTCTTAGTCTGCTAAAGGTTTGTTGATTTTATTTATCTTTTCAAAAGAAAACCAACTTTTCATTTGTTGATCTTTTATGTATATTAATTTTATTTGTTTCTTCTCTGATCTTTATTATTTATTTTCTTCTACTAATTTTGTGTTTGATTTGCTCTTGCTTTTTTAGTTCTTAAAGATGCATAATTAAGTTGTATATTTAAAGTCTTTCTACTTTTTTGTAAGTGCTTATTGCTATAAACTTTCCTCTTGGTACTGCTTTTGCTGTATCACTTAGGCTTTGGTATGCTGTGTTTCCATTTTTATTTTTTTCAAAAAACTTTCATTTTCTTCTTATTTCCTTTATCCACTGATGATTTAGAAGCATATTGTTTAATTTCCATGTATCTGTATAGTTTTAAAATTCTTTGTTATTGAGTTCTAGTTATATTACATTATGATCAGAGGAGATATGTGAGATGATTTCAAATTTTTTGAATTTTTTTAAACTTTTATGTGGCATAACATAACGTCTCTCCTTAAGAATAATCCATGTGCTGAGGAGAAGAGTACACATTCAGCAGCCATTGGATAAGACCTTCTGTAAATAGCTTAGGTCCATTTGATCTATAGTGCAGATTAAGTTCAATATTTCTTTGTTGATTTTCTATCTGGATGCTCTTCCCAATGCTGAAAGTGTGGCATTGGAAACTCTGGCTTTGATTGTATGTGAGTCTATATCTCTCTTTAGCTCTAATAATATTTGCTTTATATATATATATATGGGTACTGCATTGTTGGATGCATATATATTTACAGTTGTTATATGTTCTTGTTGAATTGACTCCTTTATCATTATATAATGACCCTCCTTGTCTCTTTTTATAGTTTTCTTCTTGAAATCTATTTTATTTGATATAAATATATCTACTCCTTCCTTTTGTAGTTTCCATTTGCATGGAACATATTTTCCATCCTTTTATGTTCAGTCTGTGTGTGTCTTTATTCATGAAGTGTGCTTCTTGAAGGAAGCAGATGGGTCTTGCTTTTTTATTCATCCAGCCACTCTGTATATTTTGATTAAAGAGTTCAGCACATTTACCTTCAATGATATTATTGATAATAAGGACTTATTCCTGCCATTGTGTTATTTGTTTTCTGGTTGTTTTGTGGTCGTCTCTTTCTTCCTTCTTTCCTGTATTCCTTTTTAGGAAAGTGATTTTCTCTGATGGTATTATTGAATTTCTTGCTTTTTAGTTTTTGTGTATCTGTTGTAGGTTTTTATTTTTTTTAATTTGAGGTTACCATGAGACTTTCAAATACCATCTTATAATCCATTATTTTAAACTGATAACAACTAAACTCTGATGCAAAAATTAACAAACAAACAAGAAGGAAAAACTAACAGAAACTCTACATATTAATTTCAGCTTCCTCCACTTTTAAACTGTCTTTGTTTCTGTTTAAATGTTATTATACTGTCTATGCCTTAAAAAGTTGTCAAAGATATTACTTTTGATAGGTTTCTCTTTTTGTTTTCCTACTCAAGATATTAGTAGTTTAGTTTACACACTACAATTACAGTGTTATAATATGTTGTATTTTTCTGTGAGTCAAGATTTCACATTTCTACCACTTAATTTATGCTAAATAGTTTTTAATCAGTTAATAGAAGTTAGTTGTATACATTACTTATTTGTGTGGGGCTAGGGTATGGGAAATATGAAAAATAGTAATTCATATGGTGAGAACAAAACATGACAAAACCTGGAGGTGGAGATGCACATGAGCTAAACAAAACTAAGGAAACGAAAGTATGATGGTGTGAAGAATACAGGCTAATGGGAAGCATGGCATGATATAAGGCTGTGAAAGAAATTGTAAATTACATTGAAACTTTGAAGTTGTTCTTGTAGACTATGGTATTTATTCTTAAAGAATGAGATTTTGTTTAATACATTGATTACCCATTACATAAAATCTATGTACATAATAACACACCATATGTTAATCATGGGATTGACTTAGGTAATTTGTAATGGTAAAATTATTCTTGCCACAGTATATAGAATATAGTGGAATTAAGAATAATTCATAAGAAATTAGTGCTGTATTACAGGTGATTGCTGAAGAGTATCAAATGGGAAAAGTATAAATGTGGAAAAATGAATGGATTATAGAGATTTTGTGGCATAGCATGGACATAATATGGAATTGATTAGCTGTGGACTCAAAGGTAAAAGATAAAGAGATTAATTATTACATTCAGATTTCTGGTGTAAGAAAATATATTGATCAAGGTAGTACGCAGGATAAGTGAAAAGAATCAGGTCTGTAGGGGGGAATAAATGAATTTAGTTCTGTTCACATTAGTTTTAAAGGGCTTATAAGACAACTAAATGGGGATATAAAATAGGCTCAGGATTTTTTTTTTTTTGGACAGTGTGAGGAAATGTCAGGGCTAGTGTAAATATAAAAAAAAGAGATTAACAACAAACCCATAAAAATGGTACGGTAATCTAGGAAAGGATATTCATTGTAGATAATAAAATAATATAGGACATATCTTGTGGAAATTAAACATTTAAGGAGTGATGGGATGCATAGCCATTGGCAAAGTGGCTGAAACAGAGCAGCTAGTGAAACAAAAAGAATGAGAAAAACCAAAGCAAATGAACAAATAAAGGGGAACGTGTGTTATAACAAAAGCCAGTGAACAAAGTGATTTAAAGTAGGAACAAGTGATGAGCAGAGGTAATTACTATAAACTAGTGATTCCTGACTGATTTTTCTCTTTCACGCTGTTTCTCTCATCCATCCACATGTAAAGTTTATCCCCAGCGTGAGTTCTCCTTGCATCATCCATTTGTTACCAATCTTCTGTAATCTTTTGTCTATCTTATGTAATCACTTCTCAACTGGTTTCACTGCTTCCACTTTGGGCCCTTACAGCAAATTCCTCAAATAAGAGCAATAATGATATTTCAAAAATGCAAGTTAAAAAATGTAAATCAAATCAGGTTAATGCCCTACTCTCAACTTTCGACAGTTTCCTGTAACACTTGCAATAAAATCTAAACTGATTACAAGAGACTTTACATCCTCTGATATCCTCTCTGAACTTATGCCTTAATCCACTTTGATTACTGTATTCTAGTCACAGTGATCTCATTGACAGTTCCTGGACATGTGAATCATATTTTTGACTCAAGAACTTTTCAGGTAGTTTTTTTTTATAATAGATTGATTACAAAAATAACTATAATTCTTAACTCCTATCTGTATCCACTCCTATCTGTATCATTTCTAAAATGATTCTGCCACTCATTCCAGCAACACATAGTCTCCTTCCTTCAGCCCATGACTTTAGGCTGACCTTGTGATTTTCCTAGGCCAAAAGAATGTAATGAAAGTGATGGAAGATTAGTTAAAAATGTAGGCCTCAAGAACCTTTGAGTACCTTCCTCTCTTTCTTGAACCTCAATAATGAGCTAGCATGATAAAGAATGAGGGAGCTGGAGGTGGAGTAGAGCTGATATAATCTTGCAAGCCAATCCTAGATTAGTCAACTCCCATCTACCTGGCAGCTGAAACAGGTGTATAGCAGAGCCCACCTAGATAGTATCATCCAAAGTTGGCCTAGACTAAAAGAATGATCCAAAGACCCATGAACTCATGAATTAAACAAATGCTAATTGTTTTGAGTCAGCAAGTTCTGGGGTGGCTTTGTTACATAGCAATAGCTTAATGATACAATTCTCTTTGCTTGGTATAATAGTCTATAAGACATTTTCATTATAGCATCCTCACTTTATTTAAGTGAGCACTTAGTATGCTACTGCTTCAGAAAATACTTCTCTGACCATCTTTTCTAAAATCACTCTTTTATCCTACATTATTCCTTCATTGTGCAAATAAACTAACAATTCTATCAATTCATTAGGTATTTGTTTTTATTTAACCTTATCATCTTTGTTTTAGTGTTAAATGTACAATAAAAATATAGTACTTCAGTATACCTGGCACAATGGAAGAGATGTATAATATTGTGTTTTATTTTACAGTTTGCACTACATAAATCCACACTTTTCATCTCTTTGATGAATTTCTTTATCAAGTTTTACGGTAACTCAAGTAAATTGTCCCTCTGAAGGTCCATTTCACATGGTTTATGACATATCAAAATTCTGGGGTGACTACAACTTAAGAAATCAAGCAACAGGTGCTGGACAGGATGTGGAGAAATAGGAACACTTTTACACTGTTGGTGGGACTGTAAAGTAGTTCAACCATTGTGGAAGTCAGTGTGGCGATTCCTCAGGGATCTAGAACTAGAAATACCGTTTGACCTAGCAATCTCATTACTGGGTATATACCCAAAGGATTATAAAACATGCTGCTATAAAGACACATGCACACGTATGTTTATTGCGGCACTATTCACAATAGCAAAGACTTGGAACCAACCCAAGTGTCCAACAATCATAGACTGGATTAAGAAAATGTGGCACATATACACCATTGAATACTATGCAGCCATAAAAAAGGATGAGTTCATGTCCTTTGTAGGGACATGGATGAAGCTGGAAACCATCATTCTCAGCAAACTATCGCAAGGACAAAAAACCAAACACTGCATGTTCTCACTCATAGGTGGGAATTGAACAATGAGAACACATGGACACAGGAAGGGGAACATCACACACCGGGGCCTGTTGTGGGGTGGGGGGAGGGGGGAGGGATAGCGTTAGAAGATATACCTAATGTTAAATGATGAGTTAATGGGTGCAGCACACCAACATTGCACATGTATACATATGTAACAAACCTGCACGTTGTGCGCATGTACCCTAAAACTTAAAGTATAATAATAAAAAATAAAAAAATTTAAAAATTAAAAAAAGTAATCAAGCTGAGCCATCTCCTCTTTTGATGAACTACGGAGGAAAATGTTCAATAGTCGATGTAAATATTACTTAAATATCTCATGGTAAAAAAAAGTCCTTCTGATAAGTAAGTAGCTGAATTAGATGAAACCACCAAGGATTATTTGAGTTTCAAACTGGTTAGAATTGCATTCCGTTGAAGTTGTTCTCACTTAATTATATTACAGATCCAGCAACTGAGCAATGTTTGATAATTACACGTCTTGAAGTAATCTTATTTGGGTTAAATCTGCTTGGATTTATATTAGTCAACACTTCCCCTTTGTTTTTAATTTTTTACAAACAGCCTGAAGTGTCTGAAGTGCTCAATGCAGACTCAAAAACCAATAATTCTTTATTGCATTTGTGGAGCAAGTGTCATGTTAACACTCCAGCATTCTCACTATAGAGGAAAATGCCTGTTAAAGTACTCACTTATTTACATGTGCTAAATATTTCTCATTGTTGGTTCTTGAACAAAGTTTACTATTATTTTCCACAGTTATTACTACAAAATTTTCTAAACAAAGTTAGTTATATCTACTTCCATACATCCTGGTAAGGAAATGATGGTTGGTGATAAATAGCCTGGAAAAAAATAAAGCTTGAGAACAACCTAAAAAAGACTAAAAAAGAGTATTTCATTTGGTTTCTAAAAAAAATATGAATGAACAGGATACATTACTAGTATATGGCTTTTCAGCATAATAGTGAAGCATGTCTTAAAAGTGACATGAGACTGAAACAAAAGGCTGTTTGAATTTATGAACATATAAACCAGTAAACTCCTAGACAAGAGAGTATAACTCTTGATGGTGGCAAACTTTACCTTCTATACATAGTAAAAAAAACCTTATTTGTTGGAAAAACTACTTCTGATAAAGAACTTGGAGGATTCTAGCATGACAATGTGAGGACCTCTGCTGACTCACTCTACAATCGAACTGGTGAAAATACACACACATACGCACGCACACACACACGTCTCTAGAAATGGTCATTAAAAGAAATAACAAATGAAGAAACACTGATTCATGAAAATTTTTGAAAACGTGGTGTAAAAGAGATAGATTGGTATTTGAACCAAGACTACTGTCCCTACCCGGCACATCCTGTGTTATGTTTCCTTAGGGCTTAGTTGGGAACCCAGCTCTCTTTATAAGTAAAATTAAATCATGCTATTATGGCTTGGTTATACAATCCAAGTAAGACTAACATTTTAACAAGGATTTTAAAAACAAAAAGCAAGGTATTATGTTGGAACTAGGAATATTCCTATAACTTTAACAGAATAAAACTTTTAAAGAACCTGGGCATTGAGGATTCCTGCAAATGCACTGCATAAAGTACATTTAACAATTTAAAATAATTTAATTTTAGGTTGAAATCTGAATAAGCCCAAATATATGAATCTTTCTATTTTGTCTAAGCTGTACTATACTGAACCAGGGGAATAAAAGCAAGAAAAAAAATCTGATTTCAGTAAATTTTCAAATTTCCTTTAAAGCAGTATTAACTCTAAAGGACCTAGGAAAGACATTTGTATTATGGTTAACTTTAGATATATGGATGGTTGATAGCTTGATAGACCTTACCAACTCCGAATCAAGAGAGTTTTATTTTCATTTCTTATAGCTGACATCCTAAGGAACATTATCTTTTGAGGGCACAATCTTTCACTTGCATCCTCTATGGTAATGCACCTAAATCTGGATCCAAGGTAAGACCTAGTATATTACTGGTGTTCAATTATCTGTTTCAGTGAATTGTTAGCTCTAGTAGCTATCATAAAACAATTTTCTTGTACTTTTTTTATGCCTAATAATTGACTCAATTATTTTAAATAGTCATGTAAAGAAATAAGCAACCCACTACATTTGTCTGTGCTTGTTTGCTCCAGTAATCATCAACAGAGAAAATAAAAATTAAAATAATTTGTAGAACTTGCTTTTCTCTTGGTAGAAAAATATTCAATATGTAACTGATAATTGAAATGAGAGACATTTGTTTACTCCTAATATACTTTGGTATATTACAGCTGAAATGAACCCTGTAATCATTTACAAATATTTTAGTATTCATCAAAATGTGTTACATATACAGATAAAACTTTTGTCTCACTTGTAATAAATTCTCCTTGAATCCCAAAGTGCTGATATCCATGCTTTTGAGTTATTGTTAAGGAAATTGAGTAGGAATTTAATTTGCCTGATAAGTGATCACTTCTTGCTGAAACAGCATTGTATCACCAAGGATAAAATGAATCCTATTAAAACAAGGCAAGACCAAGCTGTAAAAAAAAAATTTGGGAGTTTTGAGATGAAAATACTCACTGTATTTTGCCAGTGTATTGGCATCCCTCATAAGTACATAATTTCTGCCAGTTAGTAATTTTGTATAAAACGGATGACAGAACAGTTCTCTTCATTGAAATGTAGGAAGTGTTTCATTGTTTGCATCTCTATGGTGTCAGATATTAGCTTTAGCTTATAACATATGCTCTCATTGCAGAGTTTATTAGATTCTCCTAGGTAGAATTACAAGAGCAAATATAACAGGCTTTGTTCTGATTTTCCCATATCCTTAAGGTCTATTATTTTGCAATATTTTGACATTTGAAAAAAAATTCCTCTGGCAAATACTTAAATTGAATTTCTTAAGAATTTTTTATTCAAAATGTTTCTTAATGCTGTGAATGAAAAGCTTGGCTCTATGTGTGTGTGCGTGTGAGTCTGTGCATGCATATATATGTGTGCTTGCATATGTATACTGAAGGGCATATGTGATATATGTACTGAATTAGCCAACATTTTCCAGAGAAACAGAACCTATATATAGACAGATGATAGATGATAGATAGATAAATAGATGACAGATAGATATAGCTATAGATGTGGATATAGATATAGATAGATATATAATCTGAAGACAGAGGAAAGCCAGTGGCGTGATTCAGTCAGTCTGAACATATGAGAACCAGGAGCAGCAATGTGCAAGGGTGGGCAAAAGAAGATGGATTTCTCAAGCACAAACAGGAAGCAAACTTGCCCTTTCTCCACCTTTTGTTCTATTCAGGCCCTCAAGGAATTGGAAGATGCATACTTCGAGTGACTTTCTTCACTCAATCCACTCAAGTGCTGATCTCATCCAGTAACATCCTCATTGACACACCCCAAAATAATGTTTTACCAGCTATCTGGGCATCCATTAGCCCAGTCAGGATGACACATACAATTAACCATGGCATGCATCCGTGCACATATGTTGGTGTAGATGAGTGGTTAGGAAACAAAAGTGTTGAAAAATTTATATTGTGGATATTCTCTTACATTTAGCACTATTTTATCTAAAATGTTTGGATAATCAATTGACTAAAAAAGATAAAACTGGGAAAAAATAAATGAGCATATAAGAGAAAACAATAATGAATCAATTATATGTGAGTTTTTCAGATGTCTCCCCTCATCTTTCATTTCCTTTTCAAATGAATAAATTAAAAGCTTCCAAAATAGCAGTCGAATAATTTTAGGTGTAAATAAACTTGGAAGATTTCTGCAGTTCCATACAATTGTTTTACTAATACGTTAAAGGATTCACAGTGAAATAATTAAGACTAAATAACAAGGATAAAATTTTACCTTAAAGAACATATTTTTGGCCCAAGTACGATGGGCCACAGCTCTTTACAAATTAGAATTTAAGAGTTAAAGTGCTAAATTTTGTTGGTGCAATTTATTAGGTACTAATGGAAATATCATGCTTATGTAAAAATAATGAATTAAGATTGTTATTTACAGGTACTTAAAAGTATATCTGTTTGATGATGTATTCTTAGACATATATAAATATTTATACAAATGCATGTATAACAAAAATTGTGATAAGTACAAGGATAAAAATATTGCTTAATTTGCACTGGGGATTTGGGGAGATTCCTCTGAGTGATAATATTTAAATTTTGATGAGAATCAAATGTAGGAATTAGCTAGGTGAACAGTAAGACAGAGTGTCTCAGGGAGAAACAATATTATGTACTCAGGCCTCAAAGCAGAAGGCAATATGTTGCTCTTGCCTTTTCCAGAATGTTGTAGAGTTGGAACAGTATGTAGGGTTTTTAAATTGTCCTCTTTTACTTAGTAATATGCATTTAAGTTTCTACCCTGTCTTTTCTTGTCATAACAGCGCATTTTTTTAGCACTGAATAATATTTTGTTGTCTGGATGTAGCACATTTTATTTATTCCTTCACCTATGGAAGGACATCTTGGTTGCAAGTTTTAGCAATTATGAAAAAGGAGCTATTAGTATCTGTGTATGGGTTTTATATGGACATATGAACTCAACTCCTTTGAGTAAATATCAAGGAACATGAATACTGGATAATATGGTTAGAGTATGTTTTGTTCTATATGAAACTGCCAAACTGTCTTTTTTTTTTTTTAGTTTTGCATTCCAACCAGCAATGACTGGGAGTTTCTGTTGCTCCACATGCTCGTCAGCAATTGTTATTGTCAGTATTCTGGAGTTTAGCCATTCCAGTGTCTCATCGTTTTACCTCTACTTTTTGTATACAGCTTTAATGCTCTCCCTAAGAAACACAATATAATACCTAATCTTTTCACAGTCTTCTAAATATTAATATTGTATCACTTGTCATAAAATGTAGAAAACTTCCATTTAAATCTTTCCTTATCATCTTTCATTTTATCACTGTCAGATGAATTGTATTTGCATACATCTAAACTCTACATGCCTGTGTTATAATTTTTGTTTTAAATAGTGATTTAAGTTTTTGCTTTTGCAATCATAACTATTTAATCTTGAATCTTTTCCACTTCTACTTAATATTTTCAATGTTTTTCTTGATATATTTCTCTGAAAAACTTTTCCCAGATATCTAATATTTCTGATATTTTTATGTTACCAACTCAAGTGTTGATTCATGTCCACAATCTTCCATTTTTGTGTACTTTTTAGAATCCTCATTTCCTTCCTTCCTTCCTTTCCTCCTCCTCCTGCCTCCTCCTCTCTCTCTCTCTGTCTTTCTTTCCAGAGTCTCTTGCTCTGTCACCCAGGCTGGAATACAGTGGCGCGATCTCTGCTCACTGCAGCCTCCACCTCCTGGCTTCCCAAAGTGTAACATTACAGGCGTGAGCCATCGAGCCCAGCCTTTCCTTTCCTTTCTTCCCTAGAGGTTTTAGTTGTAATCAGCAAAGGAGAATGGCTTTATTTTATTTACACTACCATTCCCGAACTCAATTTTTACCTCACAAAGTTTTGATATATTTTCAGTTTTATTTTGGTTCAACTATTTTCCCCAAGATTTCTTCTTTGACATGTGAGTTATTTAGGAATGTGTAACCTAATTAGCAAATTTGGGATCATATGAGAGTTTTATTTTGTTGGTATTTTCTAGTTTAATTCTATTGTACTCAGAGATACTACTCTGTGAAATTTCAATTATTTTACATTTTCAAGACATTTCATAAGCAGATTTATAGTCACTTTTGGTAATAGTTGTCCGTTCACTTGGAAAAATATATAATCTTGACTTGTTTAGTGGGACATTATATCATTTTATAGAAACACAGATACATATACTAAAAAGTCAATTAGTTCAAATTTGTTAATTTGTTTTCTAAATCTACTTCATTCTTAATGAATTACTTTCTCTTGTTCTATCATCTACTCAAAGAGGTAAGTTAAAAATATACAACCATGAATGTAGATGATTTCTCTTTCAAATGCTCAATCTGTTGAATTTAGCTATATATAACTGGATTTGTATGGCTAGGGTTACCTTGTGAAATAGGAAAAGTTCCCTTTTTCCCCTAGCAGAGTGTGTGATGGGGGTGTGACTTGCTTCTTCAGTGCCCTGCTGCTCAAACCTCTAGGGGAGCATACAGATGGGCAGGCTATAGGGCTCTGACCCCAAGGCAGCGTCTAGGGGTATGTTTACAGCTGAAACCGCAGCGGGCATGTGTCTTGTGTTAATCAGTTCAGTTAGACCCCTGCCTAAAGGACAGTGGGCTTTCTGTATCCCTGGGTTCTTGCCTTGGTGTACCAAAAGAATTGGATCACATATGGGCTTGGAAAATGAGTGCAAGGTTTTATTGAATGGAAGTAGCTCTCAGCAGACGGGGGAGCAAGAAGGAAGATGGTTTTCCCCTGGAGTTGGGCTGCTTGGTGGCCTGGGCTCTCCTGCGACTGCCCTGGCCAAACTCTGCATCTTTCTGCCGGTCGGTGGCCTGCCGGCATGCTGGTGCCTATTGGTGCGTTCCTCTCAAAGTCCAGCTTCCGGTGCGTTCCTCCGCTGGTGTGGTCCTCTTGGCGTCCAGATGCCTGTGTGTCTGCTTGCTAAGGTCTTGGGGTTTTTATAGGCACAGGATGGGGGTGTGGCAGGCCAGGGTGGTCTTGGGAAATGCAACATTTGGGTGGAAAACAAAAATTCCTGTCCTCACCTAGGTCCATGGGTACAGGCCCGGGAGTGGAGCCCTAGCCAGGGACCATGCCCTTTACCCCTTCCGCATCATTTAAAGGGACCATGCCCTTCCCTTCCCAGCAATTCCCTTCCTCCCTTCCATATCATTTTCCCCCTCTGAAGAAGTACGTGTAACTGCCTTTAAAATATGGATGATGACTGGTCTTAGCCGCTTCCTGCTGATGGCGTATTGTTTTGGGGAAAACAGTAGTCAGATTCCTCCCAGAGGTCTGTCTAAGGATTCCTTGCAAAGAGCAGCCAATGGCTTCTAGGCATGAGAGGAAAAAAAAAAAAAGAAACAAGTTTTATAAGGTTAAGTATGCATGGGTTAAACATGTGTATTATACAAGGCAAGAATGTAGTGCCAAAGATTACAGAGAAAAACATGAAATATACTAACAACAACATTCTACCCCAAGCTGTTTCACCCTGGTGAAAGAAATTAAACCTTGTATGGGAGTGGATAAACTTTAGAAGAGAGATAACTCTTCTTGCCATAGTTTAGCAGTTAACAGGTGTACCTTAGGAACTCTGGGGTTTGTGGGCTTGCACAGTGACCATTAAAACTTCTGCCTCTTTCCTGTATCTCCTCTTTCTTTCCTGGGCCTCCCCGTCTCTATTATAAAAGACCAAGGTGGCCATTTTCAGGAGGGTCCTCTAATGTACTATCTGGTCCCGGGGCCCATTTCTGCAACTTCCTCCTGATATCAGGAGCTTCCTGAGTAATAAACTTTAGGATTAGCTATTCCTTGACTACATCAGGAGATAGAGAGGTGTGCTTTACCAAGGCCTCTCTTAGTCTTTTTAGAAAGGCAGTGGGATTTTCATCAAATACCTGGTCAAGCATCGACAGTTTAGTATAATTGAGAGACTTGGTCTTAGTCCTACATAAGCCCTCCATTATGCACACCTGAAAGTGTCTCCTCTTCCAGGCTTCCATCTCATCACTGGGATCCCATTTAGGGTCATTGCCTGGTACTGCTTCTCTTCCAGTTGGATACTATTCACCCCCTTTCCTCATGCTATATGTGATACAAAGCTCATCCCCAAATCTCTCTGCTGCTTGCAGAGTGACCTGCTTCTCAGTGCCTGTTAGGATCTGATTCAAAGGTAACATAATGTCTCTCCAGGAGAGTTCAAATATTTGGGTGAAATTCTGGAAAACCTCTATATATCTATCAGGGTCATCTGAAAACTTGCCAAGATCCCCCTAAATTTGCTTTAAATCCTGTAGGGAGAAGGGGTCCTGAATCTTACTGGGCCCAAATTCAATAGGCATCTGAT
The DNA here is from genome assembly GCF_000001405.40 of Homo sapiens. Classification (NCBI taxonomy): domain Eukaryota; kingdom Metazoa; phylum Chordata; class Mammalia; order Primates; family Hominidae; genus Homo; species Homo sapiens. The sequence goes on from NC_000011.10 coordinate 98,455,044, forward strand.
GGAGGGGCAAGAGTGAGACTGGGGCTTGTTCCGAGTGAGGATTTCTAGGAGGGGGCAAGTGAGAGTCTGAAGCTGTGTAGGGAGGTTGTGGTAGACCTGGAGGAGCAGGGCTTCAGGGAGCTGGCTCCCCCACTGGGAGTGCTTCTGGGATTCCTATTTTTAATTCCCTGGGCTTGCCCCTTGCATCCTTCCCTGAGATGGCAAATAGGAGGGCTGGATCAATCCTACATTGCTAGCAAAGATCTGGGTTGCCGAGCCCCGGCAACCTTGGCAGGTGCCGGCTATAGGTACCTATATGCAGTATGTACCCGTGAAGCAGGGAAAACCTGGAGAATAGGAATTAACTGCCCTCACCTATGCCTCCCTTTCTCCTTGCTGTCAGCAAATTTTGAGTTCCCTGGGCCTGTTTATACCATGGAGCATGGCCTTTTTCCATTGGGTGAGGTTCAGTCGGCAGGAATTGGTGCTTCCCGTTTACATTGTGCCTGTTGCCTGGCTTTGGATCCCTCGGAACTGGTCTTTTTTTTTCTAGGGCCTCAGCCTGAAGGTTGGAATCGAGTTTGAGACTGAAAAGGTATTACAGAGGCTTTTTGTATCCATTTAGTGTCTCAGATAAGCCCTGCCGAATTTGCAGTTAGCAGCCAGCAGGAGTCTCTCCTTCCTTAACTTCCCTATCAAAAACAGAGCTGAGAGGGGGCGCACTCTCATTTAGAAAAGAAAAAAAGAGAAAAACAGTTTATGGGGCCAAAGGGGGGGAGATTCTGTGGGAAGAACCCCTTGCTTAGTGCAAGTGGGCCCCTCTAATCCTTATAACTTTCCCATCCTTCCCATGGTTCAGACCAGGTTGAATTCTTTGACCAGGAGAGGAAAGGTTCTGTTGGTGTGACCAGCAAGAAGCAAGCTGTAGGGTCCCGGCTGCCACAGGTTTTCTCCTGTCCCTCTCGTGGCTGTTGGGCTCAGCCTTTTGCCTGCGGTGGGCACACCTAGGCACCTCATCTCGGAGGGGAAAGGATAAGGAGAGGTGCCCTGAGCTGTGTGTGCCTGTGGCTGTCGAGGCGGAGGCATACATGCCACCTCCAGGAACAGTTGGTCTGATTTGCAACTTTGGCAGCTGAGCCGAATGCTTATTTTACTTAGTAACATTGCCGCAGCCTGTAGCAAAACTCTTAACATTATAAAGGAAAAGATAAGAGCCATTTCAAACCGAGAGAGAGAAAAAAGGTGAAAGGAAAACAGAGCCTCTTGCTTGCTGGAAAGAAAGCAAGGTGGCAGGGTTTTGGAAGAAAGGCAGACCCAGCAGTTTTGCATTGGCTCCCAATATCCCAAGTGAGCCCCCAGTTGAATGGGAGAAGCTCCTGTGTCCCCATAGCAGGGCGTGCAATGAGGGTGTGACTCACTTCTTCAGTACCCCACTGCTCAAACCTCTAGGGGAGCATACAGACCAGTAGGTCGTGGGGCTCCAACCCGACGGCAGTGACTAGGGGTGAATGTTTACAGCTGAAGCCCCAGTGGGCATGTGTTACAGGGTGCTGTTTTAGTTTAGCCGTCCACAGGTGGCTTGTGTTAGTCAGCTCAATTAGACCTCTGTCTCATTGCAAGGACAGAGGGCTTTCTGTAACCTGGGATTCTTGCCTTGGTATACCAAAAGAATCAGATCACACATGGGCTTGGAGAATGAGTGCAAGGTTATACTGAGTGGAAGTATCTCTCAGCAGATGGCGGAGCCAGAAGGGAGATGGTTTTTCCCTGGAGTTGGTCTGCTCAGTGGCCCAGGCTCTCCTCTGACTGTCTCAGCCAAACTTCATGTTGTTCTGCTGGTTGATGGCCTACCAGCATACCAGTGCCTGCTGATGTGCTCCTATCCGACATCCAGCTGCCCGTGTGTGCCTCTGCTGATGTGCTCCTCCCGAAGTCCAGCCGCCTCCCGAAGGCGCAGACGCCTGTTAAGGTCTAGGGGCTTTTATAGGCACAGGATGGGGGCATGGCAGGCGAGGGTGGTCTTGGGAAATGCAACCTTTGGCCAGAAAAACAAAAATGCCTGTACTCACCTAGGTTCGTGGGCACAGGCCCGGGGGTGGAGCCCTAGCCAGGGATCATGCCCTACCCAACTTCTGTATCATTTAAAGGTACCATGCCCTTTCCTTCCCAGCGCTTCCCTTCCCCACTTTTGTATCACTTGTACTTCTATAGAATTTTGGCACAAGATTCTGATAGAGATACTTTTTGTTTATCACATGCTGTTATTAAGATTCTTTTTTTCTCTGTTCTATACTTCTTGTCTGTATATATATGGTGGCTGGTATTAATATAGCTATGTTAGTTTTTTGTTGTTTGCTATTTGTATGGGATATATTTTTCTATCTTTTAAACATTTAGTATTCTTATATTTAAAAGTTGCCTCCTGTGTATAGCAGAAAATTTTTGCTTAATTTATTTAACTATTCTGATAATCTTTGGATATTACTTGGAAATCTTCTTCTGTATAAATTTAATGAATTCACTAACATTAATTCAGTTTAAGTCACAATCTTGTTTTTTGCTTTCCATTTTTGTTCATTGGTTTGTAATTTTTATCCCTCCTTCTTGTCTTCTTTCAGTTTATCATAATTTTAATTATTTTCTTATATCTCCTAAATTTGTTTTGTAAAATTTTATTCTTATATTCTTAGCATTTACCTAAAAAGTATAATATGCATTGCAATTTATTAAATTTTATGTTAAATCATGTTTTCAACATTTTCTGAAAAAAAAAGTAAATGACAATTTATCACATTTAATGAATCCCTCACCTGCACTGAGCTATGCTGTTTTCAAATACTCAGATTGAATATTGGATATTTTATGTTTTCATCAATGGGACCTGGGTCTTAATGAAGTTGTTTAAAGAGTGTTGGACTTGTTCTGGCTCACACTTAAGTTAATTGCAATTAGTTTGCTAAAATTGAGACTTGCTTAATTAGGGTAGATCCAGAGCAGCATTTATTATATATTTAATTTAGCTCCATACTATGGTGTGACCTTTCTGAGGAATCCACTCATTGCCTATGTATGATGAAGTCCCTTCAGTCTGGCTAGATGTGAATATAAAATACTTCCAGCTATGCATCAGCGACTAGAATTATTTAGTCTGTTGCTTTCTGGTGGTTTTCTCCCAGTAAGATGTAGTTTTTTCTCACACATGAGCAGATCAGTACATAAACAAAGCCTTTAAGGAAATATCGCTCCCTCACCCTCCATGAAGATCTTTAGAGCTCTCTCTGTGCAGTTCTGTCTTCTGCAGTACTGTCATGAAAATTGTAGCTTCTTGGGCTCCTTAGGAAACAGTAGGTTCCTAAGGAGACTCAGTGAGACTTTTAGACTCTGTGGCTTTCCCTTCTTGCTCTGTGGCTTGCAAATGGCATCCAGACAATGCACTTGGATAATCATAGTTTTTACTGTTTGCTTACTTTCCCTCTGTGACCACATCCCTATGTTGCGTATTGTGATGTCCAATATATTAAAACAGTAGATTGTAGTTTTCTAGTTGTTTATAATGGGAGAGCAATTCCTGGACAATCATGGTTAAGGCAGAAGTTCCTCAATTTTGTTTTGAAAAGAGATAGAATAATAAGACATGAACAAAGACATTTCTATGAAACTAAGTGATATGGTTTAGATTTGTGTCCCCACCCAAATCTAATGTTGAATTGTAATCCTCAGTCTTGGAGGAGGGGCCTGGTGGAAGGTGACTGGATGATGGGGGCAGATGGGTCCCTTGCTGTTCTCATTATAGTGTGTGAGTTATCACAAGACCTGGTTATTTAAAACTGTGTAGCACTCCCTTTCTCTCTCTTTTCCTCCATCTACGGCCATGTAAGACATGACTGCTTTCCCCTTCACCTTCCACTACATTTGTAAGTTTCCTGAGGCCTCCCCAGCATACTTTTGTACAGACTACAGAACCGTGAGTCAATTTGTTATACAAATTACCCAGTCTCAGGTAGTTGTTTTTTTTTTTTAAGACGGAGTTTCACTCTTGTGCCCCAGGCTTGAGTGCAATGGCTCAATCTCAGCTCACTGCAGCCTCTGCCTCCCGGGTTCAAACGATTCTCCTGCCTCAGCCTCCCGAGTAGCTGTGATTACAAGTATGTGTCACCATGCCTGGCTAATTTTTGGTATTTAGTAGAGATGGGGTTTCACCATGTTGTTCAGGCTGGACTCGAACTCCTGATCGCAGGTGATCCACCTGCCTTGACCTTCCAAAGTGCTGGGATTGCAGGTGTGAGCCACCTCGCTCAGGTAGTTCTTCATTGCAGTGTGAGAGACTAATACGTGGACACAAGTGATGTAAACCACTCACAGCTCTGGCTTCTCAAATCTTTGGGGTTATACTCTGCACTCTCTATAGATTCTTATTGGCCAGTTAGATGCAGAGAATCTGGTGAAAATCTAAAGACTAATAATGCAGCCACTACGTGGAAAACCCCTGCTTCTGTGATTGCTACAGAACCTTATTTTTGCCTCCCAATCTTATGTGTCCTTTGGCATATTCACATAATGAATTATGGGATGAGTGACAAATAAATATGCATTTTGTTAAATGGCTGACATTGTGGGTTGTGTGGGTACATGTTATCCCCTTTGATGCATGTGGTGCTGGCATCAGCCTTAATATTCATGTTGGTTCACTTAACGGAATTCATTGAACCATTGTTATTAGACATAACATGTAGTAGGTGATTCTGTGATAAATTAGGTATTTTTAATTCTTTCAAAGAACTTACACTTAGAAAGATAGACATGTTTAAATGAAATGTGGAATGATAAGTATGATAATGAATATCTTTGCAAGCTCTGGTAAAAAGCTGGTTAAAAAAAATGAAAGAAAAACAGAATTACCTGCTTTCCAAGGATGATAAGAAAGACTTAAATGAGGGGAACAGAAGTAAGCTGGATGTGAGGAATTAGGAACTATTAAGGAAGGACAGTACAGAAGAGAAAACATTTCAGTGCAGGACAAAAATTTGTGCAGAAATGGATTAAATGGTGGGGGTACTGTAAGTCTTTAGCACAACTTAATTAAAACTGCTGAAAACGAAAGATAAAAGAGAAATTTTGAAGGCATTCAGAGAAATATGATACATTACATTCAGGGAAAAAAACTACTTGAACAACCTAACTTTTGAACAGAAAACATTGAGGCCAGAAGAAAGTGGAGAAAATTTTAAAGTGCTGAAAGAAAAAAAAAAAGTCAATCAAAGACTTGTGTAACTAGTGAAAATATTATCTAGGAATGATGATGAAGAAAAGAAATTTTCAGGTGAAGGAAATCTAAAATAATTTATCACTTACAGATGAATTTAAAGAAAATGCTAAAATATTTTTAGGCTAAAGGAAAATTAAAAGATAAAGATCTTCATGAATGACATGAATTTTTGAAAATGTAAAACAAATGATAACTGAATAAATATAAAACTTTACCTTTTGCTTTAAGTTTTTAAAAATACAAATGTGACTGTTGAACATTTTATAATTATATCTATTAAAGTTGTTAAAATCTAAATAGCTGATGAGTACTTGAAATATATCTTATTTCCAGTGAGACTGAGGGATTACTTTTTAATTTTGTTTAACTGTATTACCTTAAATTTAAATAGCCACATTTAGTTAATAAGCTAATATACTGGACATTCTAAATCTATGCACTCCAATAAAACAGAGATTGATGAATGGTTACAAAGAAAGATTCTACTATGCCTCCTTCAAGAGATACCATTAAATAGAGAGACACAAGGTAAAAGTAAAAGTCTTTGCCACGCTAGCAGTAAATACAAAAAGGCTAGAGTGAGATGTATTCAACATTTTAATACCAGAATAATTTCAGATAAACATAAATTTACAAAAATAGTAGTGAGTTCTTATATACCCCATACCATTTCTATTATTAACTTATTAACGTCTTCTATCGGTATCACATATTTGTTATAATTAATTAATTAACCAAAATTAATGACTTTTTTTTTTTTTTTGGAGCTAGAGTCTTGTTCTGTTGCCCAGGCTGGAGTGCAGTGGCGCAATCTCAGCTCACTGCAACCTCCACCTCCTGGGTTCAAGCGATTCTCCTGCCTCAGCCTCCCGAGTAGCTTCCAAGATACCAACTAAGAATATCACATTACATCTAATCATCATATCTCTTTGGGCTCTCTTTGCTGTGAAAATTTCTCAAACTTTTCTCATTCTTGATGATCTTGACTATTTTGAGTACTTTTGAGAAGTACTGGTCAGGTGTTTTGTAGAATGTCTCTCATTTATAATTTGCTTGATGTCTTTCTCATAATATGGCTGTGGTTTCCATTTCTCTCAAAAATTTATGTGTTGAAACTTAATTGCCAATGTGATCGTATTAAGAAGTGAGGTCTTTAGGAGGAGATTAAGTCATGAGGGCAGTGCCTTCACGGATGGGATGAGGGCCCTTAAAAATAATGTGAAGGAGTGGGTTCACTCCCTTCTGCACTTCTGCTATGTGAATACAAAGAGTTTGTCTCTTTTTTACCTTTTTACTCTTTCCACCTTGTGGTATGCAATAAGAAGACCCTCACTATAAACCAATGCCATTGCCTTAATCTGGGATTTATTCTGCCCTCCAGAATCTCAAAAAATTAATTGCTGTTTTTTATAAATTACGCAGGATCAGGTATTTGGTTATAGTAGTGTAAATGGACTAAGACAGATATTGGTACCAAGGAGTGGGAATGTTGCTACAACATTCCTGAAAATGTAGAAGCATCATTAGTATTACATAATGGGTAGAGGCTGGAACAGTTTTGAAGTGAATGCTGGGAAAACATGTATTACCCTGAACAGATCCATAAAGGTGATTCTGATGACAGGTCCAAAAAAGATGAGAGCTGTAGAGAAAGCCTCAGCCTTAGAGATTGTTGAAGTGGTCATGGACAAAATGTTGGTAGAAATACAGATAGTAAAGGTCATTCTAATGAGGTCCTAGGTGGAAGTGAGGAATATCTTATTGGAAACTGGAGAGAAGGCCATTCTTGCTACAAAGTTGCAAAGAACTTGGCTAAATTGTGTCCATGCCCTAAGGATTTGTGAAGGCAGAATTTAACAGCAATGAATTAGAATATTTGTTGTTAACAAATCTCTAAGCAAAATGTTCAGAGTGCTACATGGCTTCTCTTTACTGCTTATAAAAATAAGAGAAGAGAGAAATAATATAGAGATGAAACTTACAATCAAAAGGAAAGAAGAATAAAAAGATTTTGAAAAATTCTCAGCCTGGTCGTATGAAGAATAAAAAGTGTGTTTAGGACAGAAAAACAAAAGTGGGGCCAAGCAACCATGGGATAAGGAAATTAGGATGTGTAGAAGGAAGCCAGAAGCTATTCATCAAGACAATGGGAGAATGACTCTAAACACATTTTGGAGATCTACCCTTCTATGTCCATCACAGCCTCAGATTTCTAGGGCCTTAAGCAGAATGGTATCCAGGGAGCAGCCCAGAGCACCAACGGCCAGGGCATCCCTGGGACCTCAGAGCTTGTTGCCCAGTACCACCTTAAGTCTCTGCTCCCTGCATTCTGGTGCAGGGTTCCTTGGCCACTCCAGCTATGGCTCAAGAGGACTCAGCTGGAGCTCAGGCCACCCCACAATGGGCACATATGGCAAGCGCTAGCAACATCCACATGGCACTCTGCAGGCATGCAGGGTACAAGAGCTGTGGAGACATAGCTTCCTTTAACTAGATTGCAAGGGATTTCTTTGTGAGTACTGGGGCTGAGGCAGAGGCAGTGCTGCAGGGGCACCTGCTGCATGGGGCAGTGATACTATCTAGATCCCTGACTATGGCAATGCCCAGCAGAGCTGTGGGATCAGAGTCACTGCACAGAGGCCCCTCTAAGGCAATGCTTAATGAAGCCATGGGGGCAGGGCCCTCGCTAAGACCCCAGACCTATAGAGCCACCAGCATACAACAACAGCCTAGCAGAGCTGCAGGTACTGGACTTTAACCCGTGAGTGCTGTCGCATGGACTGTACACACTGAAGTCAGGGAGGCAGGGCTGCTAAGGGTCTTAGGGGTCCAACCCCCACTCCAGTGTGTCTAGAAGGCAGAATATGGAGTCAAAGAAGATTATTCTCAAACCTTAAGGCTTAATGTTGCTTTCCCTGTTGAGCTTTTATCTTACTTGCTACCTATTACTGCTTTCTTCTTGCCTACCTCTCCCTCTTGGAATGGGAATGTTTATCCTATGGTTGATCCACCATTGTATTTTGAAAGTGTCTATCTTGCTTGATTTAACTTGTTCACATCTGAAGAGCAATTTATCTCAGATAAATCATACCTTCAGTCTCACCCATATCCGAATTTTTTGTTTTTTCAGAGATGGGTTTCACTATGTTGCCAAGGCTGGTCTTGAACAAGTGATCCTCCTGCCTTGGTCTCCATAAAAGCTAGGATTACAGATGTAAGCCACTATGCCTGGCCCATATCTGATTTAGATGAGACTCTGGACATCAGACTTTTGAGTTAATACTAGAACAAGTTAAGACTTTCAAGGCTATTGGGATGGAATAATGTACGTCATGCCAGAATGACATAAAGTGGGGACAATGGGTGGAATGCTATGGTCTGAATGTCCTTCAAAATTCATGTGTCTTGTTCTCACTCATAGGTGGGAGTTGAACAATGAGGACACATGGACACAGGGAGGGGGGACATCACACACCGGGGCCTGTTGGGGGATGGGGGGCAGGAGAGGGAGAACATTAGGACAAATACCTAATGTATGCAGGGCTTAAAACCTAGATGGTGGGTTGACGGGTGCAGCAAACCCACCATGGCACATGTATACCTATGTAACAAACCTGCAAATACAAACCATGTATTTGCGGAACAAATACATGTGTTCTGCACATGTATCCCAGAACTTAAAGTAAAATTTAAAAAAAAGTTTTTAAAATCATGTGCTTTAATTTCCAATATGATAGTGTTCAGAGGTGAGGTCTTTAGTAGGTGATTAAATCATAAATGTGGAGCGCTCATGGATAGGTTAAGAGCTCTTACAAAAGAGCTGGAAGGAGTCGGATCAGTTTCTTCTGTTCTGTTATGTGAGGAAACAGGGTTCATCCCTTTTGCCCTTTTCATCTTTTCTGCCATGTGAGGATGTAACGTGAAGGCCCTTGTTGCACATCCAAATGCCAGCACCTTGATCATGGATTTCCCAACCTCTTAAACTGTCAGAAATACACTTCTGTTTTTTATAAATTACCACGTCTCCAGAATTTTGTTACAGCTGCACGAATGAGTGAAGACAAATAGACTTAAAAACAATGTTTTAGGAAAAACACCATAGAGGTAAAGTGGTAGATATTATTAACATGACTTATCTCTGTTTATGTTTACCTCAATTATTTGGCTGAGGTAAGATTGTTGGTTAGTTTTATCCACTCTTAAGTCATTCTTAATCCCACCACTCTCCATACTGTGCACATTCAGAGAAAGTCACTATGTGCATTTAAGGAGGGAGATTATAATCCAACTTCTTGAGGAAGGAATATGTGTATAAGTTAAATTTTCCTGCATGGGAAATTTATTTTCTCTCAACCATGTACTTATTGATATAATTTGCTTATATCAGTATAGACTAAAATATACTAATGTTGTTCTGAGCTATAATCAAGTATCATTGTACTTATTTTGTTGCCCAAATTATTACAGGTATGGTCATTGAGAGTTCTTTCCATTGGATCCTGTGTCCCTTTGACATACACTCATCAGTGGTGATTTTGCTGTTGTTTCTGTTATTGTTTAGCACAACTTTCTAGTACCATAAAATGCTTCTGCATATATCCTGCCCCAGTCTTAGAATCAGCCATTTCTCCATGGATCTCTAGTTTCTTTTTTTGGACAGTAGTATTAGAAAACATGATCTGACCACTAGCTGTGCTGCTTGCTACTGGATGTCACTGCTTCTAGCTGACAGATCTAGACACTCAGTTGGCAGAGTAAGGAAATGTATATATGAATACCAACCCATATTTGTGTATGTATATGTTATGTAAATATAAATACACACGTATCTGTAAGTATTTCTATACATAATAATATGTATCTGTTAAACTAAAGATGAGTTTATTTCCATCTGTAATTCGTTACCACCTGGATCAGTCCAGCTCTTATATTATTTGCATATTTTGACTTTCTGTGGTTTTAATTGTGCATTTTATATGATTATATTTTATCTCTTAGGAAATTGACTATAGTTAAAATGTTTCATTAATTGTCATAGTGTTTTTAATATGCATTTTAAACTAATCTTAGGTAAATTTAAAAAGCAGTATAAAATTTCATGTGTAGTGTGGGTAGGTTATAACAACTTACACCTAATTCATCTCTCTAATCCGTTACAATTTATTGTTATTCATTCCATTCATCCATATGCTACTATCACCCAATACATTGTTATTATTATTACATCTTTTGCATCAATAACAAAAATATTTTTTAAACTTGACCCTCATGTATACCTTCTTCTATATTTCTCCTTCTTTATGTAGATCTGAGTTGCCAGTTTGTATTATTTTTCTTCTCCATGAAAGAATTTTTAAAACATTTTTTGCATAGTGAGTCTATTGATAATAATTGAATGCCATAACTTTTTGATTATCTGAGAATGTATTTGTTTCTCCTTCATTTTTGAAAGATAATTTTATTGGATACAGAATATTAGCCTGGTAGGTTTTTCTTTTAACACTTTGAATATTTTATTTGTTTTTTTTCTTGCTTATGTGGTTTCTGATGATAAGTCCATTGTAATTTTTACCTTTCAACTGTATGAGTTAGACGTTTTCACTTCTGAGTTCTGACAAGACATTCTCTTTATTATTGCTTTTCTGAAGTTTGCATATGATATTCCTAAGTGAAGACATTTTAGTGTTTATCCTGGTTGCTGTTCTGTAAGCTTCCTTCATTTGTTGTTTGGTGTCTGAGATTAATTTTCAAACAAACTTAGACAATATTACTTCAAATTTTACTTCTATTCCATTATCCTTTTCTTTCTTGAGTTCTAATTATACGTATGATACATCTTTTAAAATGGTTTCCCAGTTCTCGAATATATTGTTCTCTTCTGTTCATTTTTTTTTCTCTTTGCATTTCAGTTGGGGAAGTTTCTTTTCATCTATTTTTGTTTGTTTGTTTGTTTTTGTTTTTTTGAGACGGAGTCTCACTCTGTCACCCAGACTGGAGTGCAGTGGTGCGATCTCAGCTCATTGTAACCTCCACCTCCCAGGTTCAAGTGATTCTCCTCCCTCAGCCTCCTCAGTAGCTGGTACTACAGGTGCCTGCCACCATGCCTGGCTAATTTTTTGTATGTTTAGTAGAGATGGGGTTTCACCATCTTAGCCAGGATGGTCTTGATCTCCTGATCTTGTGATCTGTCTGCCTTAGCCTCCCAAAGTGCTGCGATTACAGGCCTTTTTATCTATCTTTAAGTTCACTTATTGTTTCCACAGCTGTGTTAAGTCTAGTGAAGATCTCATCAAAAGTGTTTTTCATTTCTGCTACAGAGTTTTTTATTTTTATTATTTTATTTTGATTCTTAGGACTTCCACCTCTGCTTTCATTACCCATATTTTCTTGCATGACTTTTTCTTTTCCATTAAAGATCTTAACATATTAAGATATATAATAGTTATATTAAATTTTCTGTTTGATAATGATAGATGCAGGAGGCAGATTAGGAGGAGTGTCCCTGGAGAATCTCCCACTGGCCTGGGAAGTGGGAGAACTGGGTGGAGCCATGGGAAGTTCTCGCCTTTGCCAGGAGAAGCCTGGTCTCTTCAGTTCCTATTTGGTGACCTGCAATCATTCTGTGAGATGGGAGCCCCCTGGCAGGAACTCCTCTAGCTTTGCTAAGAGTTTTTTGGGTTTTTTCCCCTTTTTTCCCAATAAATTCCACTCCCCTCACCCTTCAATGTGTCTGCATGCCTAAGTTATTCTGGTTGTGACACAATAACCCAGATTTAGCCTACTAAGGAGCAGAAATTCTGCAGCAATAATTCCAACATCTGTGTCACCTGAGTCTTGTTTTTATGCTTGTTTTAGCTTTTCATACTTTATTTTTTATTGTCTTTTACCATGACTCATATTTTGTTGAAAGCCCAAATGATGTAGTAGGTAACGGAAACTGAAGTAATAGGCTTTTATTTTGTAGTTTCATGTTAACTTGTCTAAGAGTTGGCCCATTTCTACTATTTGCTATAGATTTACATGCCTTTGGTTTTTAATTTCTCTAATGTCTTTTATAAAAAATTTTTATTTTATTTTATTTTATTGTGTTTTTTGGTCTACCTTGTTGACTTTAGGCCTCCTTAAGCCCTCCTCTTGAGAGAGTATCTGTGTTTTATAGCTCATTCAGTTGCAACCCACTGTCATGCTGAAGCTTTCTTTGTGTAGCAGAGAGATGTGAGAAAGGGAAACTGTTGTATTATTTCATGATAAAATCTCAGACTTTTGGTAGAACTGTGCCCTGGCATATGATCCTCACAACTTTCTTAAGTTTCTGTTTACCCCCTTGGTTGAGGCAGGAAAAGCAGAAGAAGCTGGAGTGGGAAAATTGTCCTACCCTCGGGTAGAATAAGACTGCAGTAAAGTCTTTTTCCTTGGTGAATAGATGTTTGCTTTGGAGAACACTCCGGGCATGTTTTACAGTGGTTACTTTTCAACTTCCAGACCCAGGAGAAAATATTTCTTAGCTCTTTACTGTGAGACCCTGATAAGATTACTGAAGATAAAACCCATGAAAATGTAGGGTACTCTCAGATTACCTCTCCCAGGAGTTTCTCACCTCAAGTTAGTCCACTTGTGGCCTCCAGCTATTCCTCAAGATTACCTTTTTACATGTTCCTGCAAGCTTATATTTCTAGTCTTTTCACCTCCAGATAAGTTCTGACTCTGGATTTTCTTGTCTCTCCAGATTTCAGGGTGGTGATTTGTCATAAACCTCAGTTCTATAACTGGTCCAAAAATGTCACTGATTTACAATTTGTTTAGTTTTAATTTTAGTTTTTTGTAATAAAGATATATTGACTTCCCAGCACTTCATACATTGGAACTGCAACCAGGTTTCCTGATGTGGTATTTTAATATAAGATAAAATAAAATAGATTCTAGACAAAAATTTTAAAAATTACCAAAACTAGAGGGACTTTTACAATAAAAACATAAAAACATGTAAAGAATACATACAGCTAATTGAAAAAGTATATGCACTAACAACTAAGATTTGAAATACATGAAGCAAAAAATTAACAGAATTAAAGGGGAAACAAATAGTTCTACATTCGTGGTAGAAGTCATTAATACCTTCTCTCAGTAATTGATAGAGAAACTACCTGAAATTAGTAGAGACAGAAAATATGTAAACACTGCTGCTATGGACTGAATTTTTGCACCCCTCCAGATTTATATATTGATGCCTAAATTCCCAATGTGATGGCATTTGGAGCTTGGGCCTTTGAGAGGTCATTAGGTCACGCAGGTGGAGCCCTCATTAATGGGGTTATTTTCCTACTGGAAGAAACATGGGAGAGATGTTCTCTGCTCTCCACCACATGAGGATCCAATGATAGTATGGTTATCTGCAAACCAGGAAGTGTGCTTTTACCAGAACCCACCATGTTGGCACTCATGGGTCAGATTTCCCAGCCTCCAAACCAGTGAGAAATAAATTTCTGTTGTTTAAGCCACCCAGCCTCTGCTGAGTTACAGCAGGACAACCTTACTAAGACAAATACTATCAGCCACTTTGATCCAATAATATTCATAGAAAACTGCATATAATTATGACAGAATACGCACTTCTTTCAAGTGTACATGTACATTCATTGAGGAATTGCATGTGCTAGACTACGAAAAGGTCAATATATATAAAATTATCTACACCGAACCCAAATGAAATTAAATTAGAAATAATAAGAAAATATCTAGGAAAACCCTAAATTACAGAAGACACTTGAAATAATTCGTGAAGGTAAAAACATAAGGGAATTTTAAAAAATTAACTCAATGGTAAAAATAGATGTGAAATCTGTAAGATAAAATTAATGTTGTTCTATGAGCAGAAATTATAGCTCTGAATACTTATATTAGGAACTAAAATAAAAATCTAAACCAAGAACATAAGGTTCAACCTTATTAAGCTAGAAAAGTAAATGCAAAATAAACCCAAGTACAGAAAGCAATCAAATTAGAATAAGAGCTGAAATTTAATGAAATCAAAATAATAAGACAATAGAAAAAATTAGCAAAGCCAGAAGCTTATATTTTGATAGATCCACAAAATCAATAAAATCTAGCTCTGCTGATCACATAAAAAAGAGAATAAACACAAATCACCCATTCAGCATTGGGAGAGTTATCACCAATAGTTCTGGAGAAAGTAACTTTGAAATAATAAAAGTTATAAACAATTTTATGCCAACAAATTTGATGTCTTCAATAAAATCGACATTTTTCTTGAAATACATTATTTATACAAATTAATGTAGAAAAACAAAAAATATCTGAACATCACCTTAATTATTAAGGAAATTAATGTGTTACTGGACTGGCCAATTAGTACATGTAAAAAGGATCAAGCTCTGGCTGGGCGCGGTGGCTCACGCCTGTAATCCCAGCACTTTGGGAGGCCGAGGCGGGTGGATCACGAGGTCAGGAGATTGAGACCATCCTGGCTAACATGGTGAAACCCTGTCAATACTAAAAATACAAAAAAAAAAAATTAGCTGGGCGTGGTGGCAGGCGCCTGTAGTCCCAACTACTTGGGAGGCTGAGGCAGGAGAATGGCATGAACCTGGAAGGCAGAGCTTGCAGTGAGCCGAGATGGCGTCACTGCACTCCAGCCTGGGTGACAAGGTGAGACTCTGTCTCAAAAAAAAAAAAAAAAAAAAAAAAAGGATCAAGCTCACAAAAAAATTTAAAACTATACCCTATAGAATGACTAAAATTTCTTCATTTACAAAATATGTTGATTGAGGAAGATAATCTCTAAAATTCTTGTTCACTTTACATTTTAAGAAAATAATATTGTAGACAAAATTAAATGTTTATAGGGATGATGCTAGAATAATGAACATAGCTTTTTAAATATTGAAATCTAATTAATGCTTTATGTCTCAAAGTCTGTCTTGATTCTTCCTCTTAAAGGTCAACAGTTTTGGAAAATAACAAGCATAGTTTAATTCAAAATGTATACTAAGCACTAAAGGAACATTAGTATACACATTAGTATGTGCGTTAGTATGTCACATACTTTTTGTGAGATAACATATGTATGTTGTATTACAAAAATTTAAAAATGTGTCACAGATATATTTATTATATCAATTGTATAATATTTTAGCTAATATATTCAAAACACATTCGTTGTTGTTAGTGATAAATATGCATGCATATACATTTATATTACTATATTGGTTAGAACCTCCAAATGAATGTCCTTCTTTCCTCAATCCTGACCTTAGCAGGAAATAATTCAGTTTTTTTTTAACCATTAAATGTGATTTTTTTTTTTTTTTTTAAACGGAGTCTTGCTCTGTCACCCAGGCTGGAATGCAGTGGCGTGATAGCTCACTGCAACCTCCGCCTCCCGGGTTGAAGCAATTCTCCTGCCCCAGCCTCCAGAGTAACTGGGATTACAGGTGCCCACCACCACACCTGGCTAACTTTTGTATGTTTTATTTATTTAATTTTTCTATTTTATTTTTATTTTTATTTATTTATTCCTTGGAGATGGTGTCTCACTCTGTTGCCAGGCAGGAGTGCAGTGGCACAATCTCGGCTCACTGCAATCTCTGCCTCCCGGGTTCAAGAGATTCTCCTTCCTCAGCCTCCTGAGTATCTGGGATAACAGGCTCCCGCCACCACACCCGGCTAATTTTTTGTATTTTTAGTAGAGACTGGGTTTAACTGTGTTAGCCAGGATGGTCTCGATCTCCTGACCACGTGATCTGCCTGCCTCAGCCTCCAAAAGCGCTGGAATTACAGGCATGAGCCACTGAACCCAGCCTATCTTTAGTTTTGAAGGAGTTACTGAATGTTTGTGAAGTCGTAGAAAGCACATATAACTTTATTTAAAAATCTTTCATTATTTTTTTCTCAAGGCCCTTCTAGTTCCTGTCTTTGGGCCTTTCTATATCTTCCTCCAAGTGGTCTTTGGACCCACTTCTCCTGTTTTCTGAATTATTTAGCAGGATAGCTTTGATATGCTTTGTAGAACCTCAAGGTAGACCTGCTCAAGGGGCCCTGGAGGCTCCCTTAAAACTTGCTGACACCTAAAGCATGTACTAAACAAACCATATACAATGAAAAATAATGGACATCTCAGCTGCTAAGAAAATAAAAATACACTACATATTAATTAACTTGGAAAATTTGACTACTACCTCTATTGATTTGGAAATTCATGATGGAACTACTTAATTGTTTTAATGAATATCTCTACTGGTCCTCACCTTCTGAGCTCTTTTGAGTAGCAGCAAGGGGCATTTCTGACATTACTTCTGATTAAAGTAAACATGTTATATTAGCTATCCATTGCTGTGTAACAATCTTATCACAAACTTAGCAGTTTAAATCAATACGCATTTATCAACTCAGCTTCTGTGGGTCAGGATTTTAACATAGCTTAGTTCTTTCCTTTTCTGAGGTTTTTATAAACCTATAACCCAGGTCCTGGCCTGGACTGTGGTCATGTCTGATATGTAATGTAATTACATATATTCCATCACCTTTATCATATGGTATTTTTTGTAAGGAAGCTACAGGTCTCACTTCAATCAAAAGAAGAGGATCATACAAGGACATGAATACCACGAACTTGGGACAAGGGAACCACCAAATATCT
The DNA here is from genome assembly GCF_000001405.40 of Homo sapiens. Lineage (NCBI taxonomy): Eukaryota > Metazoa > Chordata > Mammalia > Primates > Hominidae > Homo > Homo sapiens. The sequence continues at coordinate 98,471,945 of NC_000011.10, forward strand.
GCCATGTTTAGGCTACAGACACTAATCTTAGAAGTAAGTGCTTCTATGGAGCAAATGTTTTCCAAGAGAGATTTGATCAATGCTATTTCTGACAGAGCTAATTAGCCCCAAATATTGTAAATATAATAAATAAACAAATATCTATGGAAAGCATGAAGTATTTTAGAAAAATGAAAAAAATTAAACAGTATCCAGAAAGCAAGCAAAATTTGGGCAGTTATAAATAGAAATGGGCGGGGTGTGGTGGCTCATGCCTGTAATCCCAACATTTTGGGAGGCTGAGGCAGGAGGATCGCTTGAGCCTAAGAGTTCAAGACCTGCCAGGGCAATGTAGTGAGACCCCGACTCTACACCTTTTTAAAAAAAATAGCTGGGTGTGGTGGCATGCACCTCTAGTCCCAGCTATTCAGGAGGCTGAGGTGGGAAGATCGTTTGAGCCAAAAAGGCTGAGGCTACAGTAAGCCATGACCACACCACTGCACTCCAGGCTGGGCAACAGAGCAAGACCCTGTGATACGGCTTGGCTCTGTCCCCAACCCAAATCTCATCTCAAACTGTAATCCCATGTCTCGAGGGAGGGACCTGGTGCTAGGTGATTGCATAATGGGAGCACTTTCCCCCACACTGTTCTCATGATAGTGAGTTCTCATGAGATCTGATGGCTTCATAAGGGGCTCTTCTCCGTTTTGCTTGCTCTCTTTTTCCTGCCACCCTGTGAAGAACATACTTGCCTCTCCTCACCTTCTGCCAAGATTGTATTTTTTATAGTAGGGTGAAATGGACTAATAACCCTATCTCAAAAAATAAGTAAATAAAATGGAAATAGAAACCTATTATTCTACCAAATTCTGACTTCATAAATATTAGCATCATGGATGCAGAAAAGGAAATAAAATAAATATATTAATTTCCTGTTATTGCCATACCAAATGACCACAAATTCAGCAGTTTAAACTGACATCCATTATTGTCTCACATTATGTAGGTCAGAAGTCTGGGCACAGCATAACTTTCCTGGTTCTCTGCTCTAGGTTTCACAAAGCAGAAATTAAGGTGTCACTATGGCTATGCTTCTTTTTGGATGCTCTGGGGATGAATCTCTTTCAAATTTATTTAGGTGGTTGGCAGACTTCAGTTTATGTTATTGTAAGAATAAAGTTTCCATTTGCTGGCTGTTGGCAAGGGAGGGTTCAAAGCTTTTAGATGCTACCCACATTCTATGGCTTATGTTTACCTTCCTCCATCATCAAAGCCAGCAGCGTGGGTCAAGTCCTTCACATGCTTCATATCTCTCTGATCTTCCTTCTTACTCCCTGCTTCACTGGTTTGAGTTAAAAAAGAAAGCTCTTGGATTTTTAAGGGCTCCTACTATTAGATTGGGCACACTAGGATAATTTCCATACACCTAGTCCACAACCTTAACCCATTTATGCCTGAGGTTGCAATTTTTTTGAGTTTTTGCATGAGTGAAAAATCCGACCTTGGTGATGGCCTCGAGCAGTAGGATATAAATAACTCCCATATGCTAAACATTCCAATAAGGGAACACTAGGCATATGAATTGCATCCACAAATTTCCTTCGGTAGTGTAACCTACTCAAAGGTTGTGAGGATTAGGGAATGGACATCTTTGTTGGGACATTCTTCTGCCTGTCACAGTAAGCTACAAAATGACAACAAGACATGATGAGATTTATTTTTCTGTAAAAAAAAAATAAAGTTGTATTATGTGTTTTCCTAAAGGAAAGTATAAATTGATAATCCAAATACATGAAATACATTGCAGAGATTTAAGAGCTTTTAGTTGTAATCTTTTATCCAGCAAGAAACAACTTCTCCTGAATCCCATTTCACTGTTACTAATCTCAGTAACAGCATTATTTTTAGGAGAGTGAAATCAAAGCTGATTACAAAGTATTTTGGCACCTACTATACAATCTTTGAGCAGTTCTTGGATTTAGAAGAAAAATGCTAAGGAGGCACAAAATTTTTATGCAAAATTATCTGTTGGATTGGCAACATTATAATTGTCTGTATTTTACAAAACCAGTGCCAAAACATTTGCTTAAAGGAATTGAGAGTTGTTTGTTTATTTTCAGCAGTTGTTTTTTTATTTGAATCCTTAAGGGCATCAAGTGGTCCTAAAGAAGTTGGTATATTTTATGTGTTTGTATTTGGTGAACTCTTAAGTGTGCTCAGCAACTTTATGCTCCTTCAGGATATGCTTCATGGAATAAAGGTGAGAATTAACTGATCTTAAGAAGGATGATAAACAGCAATAATCATGGTACGTTATTTAAATAATTCCTGTAGAAAATACTGTGCTAAACATTTTTTTCAAGCACCACACTTAATTCTGATTGAATAGCAGGCACTATTGTTGTCTCAAGTTCAAATATGACAAAACTGAGGCTAACATGTTAATATTTATACCACTAATACCTAATAAAGGTGCATGTAAAGCCATGAATGTCTATTGTTGACACATAGGAATGTTTTGTCTTCCATCCTCTACACACACACACACACACACACACACACACACACACATACATACACAGACACATATATGTCCAAAATCTAAAACCATCCACACAACTGGTATACATTTTTAAGACTTCAATGTTTGTACCTAGCTCAGACCATGGTGTTAAGTGCTGATGGTGAAGATCAGCAATATGTTGGAACCATTAAATATGACTGGATTTGTAAATTTTACATCTTTATTTTATTTTATGAGACCATATTAGTCCATTCTCATGCTGTGAATAAAGACATACCCAAGACTGGGTAATTTATAAAGAAATAGAGGTTTAATGGACTCACAGTTCCACATGGCTGGGGAGGCCTCACAATCATGGCAGAAGGTGAAGGAGGAGCAAAGGTATGTCTTACATGGCAGCAGGTAAGAGAGTGTATTCAGGGGAACTGCCCTTTATAAAACCATCAGATTTTGTGAGACTTATTCACTGTCATGAGAACAGCATGGGAAAAATCTACCCCCATGACTCAATTACTTCCCATCAGGTCCCTCCCACCACACATGGCGATTATGGGAGCTACAGTTCAAGATGAGATTTGGGTGGGGACACAGCCAAATCACATTAGAGACAGTCATGTTCATGATTTTCATTGCATTATATTCTAGTTTTAATGTGAAGTTGTACTGCTACTTTAGGCAGGACCTCCGATTATACCAATTTAGCCAAAAGTGAAGCCATAATTAAGATATGTTGACAAGGCAAAACACAGTAAATTACAAATTAAGTTATATCACCAGTGCTATAAATTCTAGGTGCCGTAAGGGGCATTTTGTTAAAAGACACCTTAAATGAGTTCCTGAAGGTTTGAAATATTTGGGACAAAACACACTGGCTGAACTCCAAAATACCAGATAATTGAACTTAGATCCTTTAGTGAGAATAATTAGGCATCATTTGCATAGGTAAGGTCATTTGGACAACTTCCTGGTGGAAAATAAAGCTAATTGAGATTAATGATTCTTAAATATATTGCTTCTCTACTTAGCATATCAAGGCAGTATTTTCTGGAGAATAGAAAATGCTTATTAATTCTATTAGGAAAATAGGAGTTATAGGCTTTTTATTTTCACTAATTTTATCAGAATACATTTTTGTAGGTGACTATATGTTAAAATATACATTATATATTTATATATGTACATATTATATATAATGTATATGTGTGTGTAGTATCTATTTTATATAATTATATATAACATGTTAAATTACAACATATCATGTATGTTAAATTATTTTACAAAACAATTTTAAAATGGATATTCAGAGAAATAAAGCAACTTGCTAAAGACTATACAATTAATAAATAATCAAGTCAGGATCAGACACCCAGTCTCTTCAACCCCCAAACCATTTCAAAGCCTAAATAGAAATAAGTAGAAAGGGATACATATATATATATATATATATATATATATATATATATATATATATATATAATTTACCTATAAATATACAGCAATACAATTTTTCTTCTTGGTTTATGTTCTTCTTATGTGTTTTCTACCAAGTAAACACAGGACATAGAATGGATGTATTTATTTTAAGTAGCTATGTATAGACATATGAAGCTACAAACAAATTAGCATATCAAAAACACTGCATCAGCAACTTGATTTTGTCAAAATATCCAGTAACAATTGTTTAAAAAGAGAGAGTAATATATTTGCTCTAGCTCTAATGCTTGAGTAAGTATGTGTTTTGAACAAACTGGGTTCTCTACAAATGTTGTTAATTAATTGACCTGCCACTCATTCATCATACTGTAAAGAATTGACGAGACTAAGTCTGGATCTGAATTAAGACTACAAATTGCCCTCTTTCATAGAACAGATACAGGGAAGCATATGAACTGAATGGCTCAGTATGGCCTAATGATTAAAAACAGAAAGAAACCTGAACATTTGTCTGCTACTTTCTTATGGGCTCCAGTGTGCCCCTTCAAAATTCATATGTTGAAACCCTAAACTTCAGTACCTCAAAATGTGACTGTATTTGTAAATAGGACCTTAACAGAGGTAATTAATGTACAGTGAGGTTGTTAGGGTAGTCCTGAATCCAATTTGATGAGTGTCTTCATAAGCAGAGATCAGGACACTGAGAGAGAGACATCTGATATGTGCACACTCAGGGAGGCTGAGTCAGGAGAATTATCTGAATCTGGGAGGTGGAGTCTACAGTGAGGTGAGATCGTACCACTGCACTCCAGCCTGGGCAACAGAGCAAGACTCAGTCTCAAAAAAAAAAAAAAAAGAATGTATGAAAAATCACGTCGTAATGTTTTTAGAAGGAAAAAAGCATTCAGTTTCCAAAACGGCAAGGTTTTCAGTCCTTTGTTTCTCTATGGCCTCCTGAGTTTGTCATTGCCCAAAGCCATTCCTACTGTATGTATCCAAATGTTTATTACCACACACTGATTATGGATTTGGTACTTTATTTGGCTAAGTGATGACCACTTCTAGTCCTTGGCCAAGAGCAAATGAATAAACTCACAGAGATTGTAGGGGGAAAAAAAGCAATGAAAGTCATTATTAGCATCTCATAAGAAAGGCATTTTCATTATCTGTTGCTACATAAAAACCAACAATATCTAGCAGCTTAAAAACAACAAGCATTTATTGTTTCATAGTTTCTGTTGGTCAGGCATTTAAGTGCTGCTAGGCTAGGTTCACCTAGCTCAAGGCCTCTCAGAAAGCCACAGTTTAGGTTTTCACCAGGGCTGCAGTCATCTCAAAGCTCAACTAAGGGAGGATTCACATTCAAACTTACTGAAGTGGCTTTTGGCAAGACTATTGGCAAAAGACATCAGTTCCTTACCATGTGGTTCTCTGTCTCTCTCACGTTACACAAAACATGGTAGCTGGCTTTTCTCAGAACAAATAATGGGAAATGGAGATAGTAAGCAAAGCAGAAGTCACCCATTTTATTGTAACCCAATCTCAGAAGTAACTTCTCACACCTTTTATCATGTTGAGTTCATTATAATTAAGTCACTAATTCCAGCCCACACTCAAGGGTGGAGGATTACTTAAATGTGTAAAAAGCAGGAGGCACGGATTATAGGGGACCTTTTGGAGGTTGCTTTCTACAAGGATAGTATCTTAGATATTTTGGAATCTGCCTGTATTCTTTCTCACTCTGCTATGAAAAAATACCAAAGACTGGGTGATTTATAAAGGAGAGGGGTTTAATTGACTCACAGTTCTGCATGGCTGGGGAGGCCTCAGAAAACTTACAATCATGGCAGAAGAGGAAGCAAACGCATGTTTCTTCACAAGGTGGCAGGAGAAAGAAGTGCCAAGAAAAGAGAGAAAAGCCCCCTATCAAACTACCAGATCTCATGAGAACGAACTCTCTATCATGAGAACAGCATGAGGGTTACCACTCCTATGATTAAATTACCTCCCGCTGGTTTCCTCCTATGACATTTGAGGATAATGGTAACTAAAATTTAAGATGAGATTTGGGTGGAAACACAGAGCCAAACCATATCACTGCCTGATCTTCTTACCATGCAGTGACTCTCACATTATTAACTTGGTAGGTATTTATAAGTTTTACGATATTATTTCACATATAAACAACTTCTACATTATTCATACTGGTTAAAAATGCTAATACCTAAATTCTCCAGGTTATAATTAATTGGTCTGCAATGCATTAGGGTGGTTAAGGGAAAATAAGGGCTGGGGTTTCCAAAGTAATATTAACTTGACACTCATTCTGACACTTTCCATAGGCATTTCAGTAAATAAAAGCTTTTTGTCCCACATATAAAGGCAGAAGTTCCACTTCAAATTACAAGTAATTTGAATAAATAAAATAATAGTATCAGTATTTTGTGAATCTACTTTTCCTTCCTTTCTTCATTTTCTTCCTTCTCTTTTTTCTTGTTTTCTTTCTTTTCTTCCTCTCTCACTTCTCCACTTTTTCTTTTTTATCTATCTTTTCAATAAAAACTTAAAAAAAAACAAGTCCCAGTCATATCCTTTAGTTTGTCTTGTAACTGTCTAGAAATAGTATCCCTATTTCAAAACTCATTAACAACAACAAAAAATTACTAAGACCTCCAGCAAGCTACTAGCTTCCACCTGTAGATCCAGTCTCACCTCCTACTGCACCCTCCTTTTTATTTATGGTAGAATATTGTCTAAGAAGTCATAAAATCTTGATCTCAAGGCATTTGTTTATGTTATTTGTTCTTAAATTCTATTATCTTCTTTCTGACATAATTAAAACAAATACAATAAACAAATACTTAGTTTTCAAGGTTTAGCTCAAAATTCCACACCACTGTGAAGCATTTATAAAATTAACTGATTCTTTCTTTGTTAACTGAAAGCATTTTTACCACACTACTAGTATAGTACTTACTATATTACAACTATGATTGTTTTTAGTTTTTGTAGTTGTTTTAGTTGTTAGTTTTTCAAGGCTAGAATGTGAAAAAGTACTGAGCCCATACTGAAGAACGCAGCTAACATAGTGAACGGCCCTGTGTATTTCAAGGGGTTTTCAAGGGGTCGTCTGCTCAGATTTATAACTGAGAGCAAAGGGTAGATTCCAAAGGAACTATAACATATATATATATATTTATATATATTTATATATATTTATATATATATTTATATTTATATTTATGTTTATATTATTTATATATATTTATATATAAATATATATATATATAATTGTTTTTTTGAGACAGAGTCTTGCTCTGTGGCCCAAGCTGGAGTGCAGTGGTACTATCTCGGCTCGCTGCCACATCTGCCTCTGGGTTCAAGTTATTCTCATGCCTCAGCCTCCTGAGTAACTGGGATTATAGGTGCACACGACCATACCTGTATAATTTTTTGTATTTTTAGTATAGATGGGGTTTTACCATGTTGACCAACTTGGTCTCCAACTCCTGGCCTCTAGTGATCTGCCCACCTTGGCCTCCCAAAGTGCTGGGATTATATGCTTGAGCCACTGTGCCCAGCCTAGGAACAAAATATTTTATGTCATACGTCTTTTTCAAACTAACTTTTTCACATTGTTTATTAACATAAGGTTTTGTTTTCTGGTCACCATCTTTGGAAAACAACCCTCTCTCATTCACATAATTAATTTCAGGTGATGGGATGAGGCGTTTTACTTGAAAAAAACTCTCTTTTCATGGGTCATTGATAAGAAATTGATGTGATGCTTTCCCCAGGAACTTTGTTGGAATTGTAGGCAGGAGGCACTAATTCCATCTTATATTTCTGGTGAAAAGAGCCTTTGTAGCTTACAGCTGCTGGGGACTTATTTTAAGAACATAGAGAGGCATCTAATAATGAATATATCAGAATAGAAAGCAGAGTGAGGAAGTGAGGAGATTAGAGACTGATTTGTGTAATTGTTTTATGAAATGATTGAGTACATAGATTTTTTTTAAAAACAAAATTATCTTTTTTAAAGTTTTGTAAGCCTATTTATTATATTGTATTTTATTAAACTAGCATAAGGTGAGATTCTGTCATTTCCAATGAAAAGAATGACAATGACAGGAGGTAATGCAATTTTAATGTATTAATTTATGAATGAATGTTTAAAAGCATTTCAACAGGGCAGTCATATAATGTAAAACAAAGAACATGCACTTCAGAGGTAAACTGCTCAAGTCTGTATCTCCCAGGCTGCCATTTATAGTAGCAGCATGTCTATGGGAAAGTTATGTATTCTTTGTGTTCTTTGTGTGCCTTTGTTTTTTCATCTGGAATATAGGAATAATCATACAACAGAAATATACAGGAATATAACATTGTTACAGTATGTGTGTGTGTGTGTGTGTGTGTGTGTGTGTTTGTGTATGCATGCACATGTGTGCTTGTGCAGCTTTTAGAAGATTATCTGGTACATTGAAACATAACTGTTGGCAATGAAATACCTTACAAAGTTTGCTCGAACCCATTGATTAATCAGAGGGTGTCTACTATATGCCAAACAACTATGCTACATATTTTAGTTAATAATAATAAATAGGATGTGTTCATTGCCCTAAAATTATTTATGACCAAATGGAGGGAAAGGACCTGAAACTAAGTTATTAAAATAGAGTAACATGTAACAGATCTGTAAAACATTCCTCTGGTCTATCTGAAACTTTTTACCTGTTAGTAAACATTTCCCCATTCCACACCCCAAACCCCAGCCTCTGGCAACCAACATTCTACTCTCTACGTCTATAAATTTGACTTTTTAAGATTCTGTATATAAGTGAAATCATGTGGTATTTTTTTTTTGCCTGGCTATTTCACGATTATTATTTGTCATTTAACAATAACATTTTAAATAAATCTTTTAAAAAACTAAGCACTCCTCCCCAAAAATAGACCAAGACGATTATTAATTCATAAGTACACACAAATGACAATAGAATAACTGATGGTGTCATGAATAACTGAGACCAGAAGTAACAGAGAAGGGTTCATAAAAGACACAGGTTTGAGTAGGCATAAAGGAAAACCATGAGTTTAACAAATGGGGTAGACTAGAGGATATAAGTATTTTAAAAAGGTAAAGAAATATAGAAACTTATCTAGTTATTGGATAACATACAATAGCATTTACATCATAAAGTAGTTTTGAAGGTTTCTTGTACTTCAAAGCAATTCTGACCTGTAGGATTTAATTGTGAGTTAATCATTTTCTAAAAAATCAAGGATAATGTTTTCTACATAGATATTAAAGATATATGCTATTTCTATTTACATACTTTATATTCTTTCATTAAACCTGTTTTCTAGGAAGAAATTAATCCAGTAATTCTAACTCAATCAAAGCACTAAAATGAACATAATAGGTCAAAAACTAGTTCATAGAAACAATTTCAATTAAGCTATGGAATTTTATTTTCATTAAGTTCTTTATTACTGTTCTTAAAATAACTTCTCCAATACAATTTTAATTCTGTAACACCAGTATTTTGATTAGATTAGATAAATTGTTATCTACTATGAAATTTGATATGTCCTTCAAAATTTCTCTCTAGTTAAATATATTTACTTATTTAATAGATTAATTTGTTAATTAATTTAATTATAATCCACCTCTTTGGTTGCTGGAACTTTTTCAATTATTTATTGGATAATTTTCAAACAACTCTGTATTCAAATCTCTCAAGCATTTCTTTTTCTTTCATAATTTTTAGTGAAGTCATCCACTGGAGACCAGAGCATGTAACATGTTTTGTTTAAAAAAAAACACCTGTCTTCTGAAAACCTAGAATTTATGTTCTGGGCTTCTGGAACTTAAAATGGTAACATTTTATTGACCCCATGATTACTTTATATACCTTGTTGTATTGTGTTTTAATTTACGACAATTGAGAAGCTCTTTGCAGCGTTTCATTTGTCAGGCTTAGTGGTGTCAGATGTTTGAAGTAAACAACATTTTGAAGATATGTGGTTATCCTACATGTATATAAGAATTGGGATTAAACTTTTCCTTTCTTAAGCACCTTGTATTCATAGGAGTGGTTTAATAGTTACTATGTTCTCTCACTCACAATATGCAAGGATAAGTGGCAAAATAAACCCACATGTTAAACTAATTAAAACACATTTTCCTTTAAATTTCTCAGTGTGAAACTATCGTGCAAAAGGTGATGATAAAAAGGGACAGATTAAGTTTATTATAACTTTAGCATAAATGTATGAGTGGGGCTAATAGATCATTTTCGTGTTTTAAAATATTTCATAATGCATAAAGTGTGAAGTTAGTGAAAAAGAAAGATAGAGCTAGTGCATGAATGTATCTCTGTACCCCCTGCAAGTTACTTTACCGATGTAAGGTTTAGTTTTCTCATCAGCAATTTAGGAACAATAATAGAATTGAAGTAAAAGCTGTTGGAATGATAAAATAGCACACATAATCATTTAACCCAATGTTCTCCAAAATAACTTCTTTGGTCAGACACACTGGGAGAAGTTGTCAAATTAAATGGCGATTTAGAAGAAAATATATGAATTTAGGTGAAAAAATTCTCTCTCTATACTTACATAAAATGTGTGTATAACAAATTATGTGTATTTATTTATGTATTTATAGTTTATCTTTCCAAGCTCTATGAGACAATGTGTTACTTTAACTTGAACAAGTAAACCTTAACTTCCCCAGTTGAATGTCAGAATTATACAGACCATTATACAGACCCTACATGGTAATGAGATAAAAGTTAAAAACATTATCAAATGAGAAGAGTAGAGGGTAGTCTTCTAAGCTGTTCCTCTTTAATACATATTAAGGCTGTAATTCAGTCAATAACAAATAATATATCACCTAACACTGGAGGAACTTTGACTTCTAATACCTGACAGTAAAGTGGAGAGCCCAAGATGGACATTAAATTCTCTATGAAGACTCCTATCAGGTCACCCAACACAGAATTCAGCACAGATATAACTATTGAATAGTTATATGCTCAGAAGCGTAGGGTGTGAGTGACAAAATGATGTAACTTCTGAGCATGTATTTTAATTTTTTTGTAAATACACAAATGTTTCAACTCAAAACTGTGCATATCTGCTAATATAAAAATGTAAAAGTGGATCCTTAATCATAACACATGTCCCACACACTTAAATTAAGACCAACTTAGGCCAATTACTAAGTTAAATAATATAAGACCAATAATAAAAATTAGAATGTTTAAAAATTTTCTTGTAAGTTATATAATAACTAATTTTGAATGCTCTTATGTCTGAAGTCCATTTTCTCTGAGCTTTATGTCTAACAAATTTTATACATTTTAAGTGAAAAATTAATGCTATATTATTTCTGAGCTTTCACAATTGTTTACATAGCTAGATAAAGCAAATCATTTAGAATGAAATCATTTGCATTTACTTGTAAGTGGAAATTATTTAGAATGAAATCATTTGCATTTATTTATAAGTAGAAATTTACATTTTGTTATATATTTTAACTATAAAAACATATAGAATCAATTGGATGCTGAAACTGATTGAAAAGAACAAATTTGTCATTGTAAATATTGTCACTGTAACATTTTAGAAATGTTATTTCTAAAAGAAAATGTTATTTACCTGAGAATAGGCACTGCAATTGGATGGCAGGTGCCATAGTAAACTATGTGCATTTCAGGGAGGTAAAGAAAGACAAACGTTTTAGAGGAAAAACGAGGAGGATTATATAATTGTTTTGAGATTATCCTTGCCCACAAGAATCAGTAGCAAGTTTCCTGTCAGTCAAAGGTTGAACAGGCAGTTGCTGAGCAGATGTCCTCACAGACAAATTATTTTTTGGTGTAAGGTTGACATGGCCTTTGTGCAAGGTTGTGGTTTTTCCAGAATTTTTTGTGACTTTTTTTTTTCATGATAGTTTTTGCTGCAGACATTTGTGTCTGAGAACCTTCCATTTGTGGCCTTCCTGGGGTTCATTTTCATTTTTCAAGGTTTTGTTTGCTTATTTGGTTGGGGTTTTTTTGTTTTTGTTTTCTTTTGAGACAGGGTCTTACTCTGTTACCCAGGCTAAAGTCTGTGGCTATACATAGGTATGACCAAGCTCACTGCAGCCTCCAACTCCTAGGCTCAAGTGATCCTCCTATCTCAGCCTACCAAGTAGCTGGGACTACAAGCATGTGCCACCATGCCAGGCTAACTTTTTGAAAATTTTTATTAGAGATGAGGTCTCACTTTGTTGCCCACACTGGTCTCGAAGTCCTGGCTTCAAGCAATCCTCCAGCCTCAGCCTCCCAAAGATCTGTGATTACAGGTGTAAGCCACCATGCCTAGCTTTGTTTTGTTTTGTTTTTAGCAGAAGTGACTCCATTTTGATTTTCGCAAAGTAAAACAATAACAAGAAAAAAAACCTGTGTTCATTAATCAAGATGTAAATAATTTAAATTTGTTAAAGTATTCTCATAGTTATATTAAATCACTGAAGTATTAAGTCAGAGTTCTACAGAGAAATAGAACCAATAGGATATATATAGATGTACAGAAAAACATTTATTCTGAGGGTTTGGCTCACGGGATTATGGAGACTGAGGATTACCATAATCTGCTATCTGCAAGCTGTAGGACTAGGAAAGCCAAGAGGTATAGTTCCAGTCCAAGCCTGAAGGTTGGAGAACTATAGGAGCCAATAGTGTTAAGTCTCATTCCAAGTCCGAGGGCCTGAGAGTGAAGGGGCTGATGGTTTTGGTCTAAGTCTGAGTCTGAAGATCCATTAACCAGAAGTGCCAATGACCTGGCCAAAGGCATAAAAGGATGAAAGAATAGAAATTCACCCTCTGTCTTTTTATTCTGTTTAGGCCATCAAAGGATTGAATGGTGCCCATGCACATTGGTGAGGGTGATCTTATTTACTCATTCTTCCAATTCAAATGCTAATCTCTTCTAAAAATATTTTCACAGATCTTATAAATACACCAGGGATTCAGTCTAGGTTCTGATGCTCACTTCACCATCATTGAGATGAAGAATATTGCCAGGTAAGAAGCCTTTATTCGGGTGCCACAGCTGAGGAGAATGGGAGATCAGTCTCAAATCCATCTCCCTGACCAATTAAAATGGGGACTTCCAGTTCCCTGATATTATCTGGTAGACCTGATGATTGGTTTCCTGAAAAAGGAACTCAGATAAGACAAATGTAACTTTAAGTTTTAAGTCTGGGAGGGTCAATTTCTGTGTTTGTTCAAAAGAAACCATAATCACTAGTTCTATGAGACAATTGGGCTGGTTTCACAGGCACACCCAGGAATACCAACTAAACAGACATCACTTGGGCTAGTCAAGTTGACACATAAAAGTAACAGTCCCACTCATTAAGTAAATGCTATTAACTCAAATTATAAACTACTGACAACAAAAAACCCTAAATGATCCTTTTTTTTTTTTTTGAGACAGAGTCTTGCTCTGTCACCCAGGCTGGAGTGCAGTGGCATGATCTCGGCTCACTGCAACCTCCGCCTCCTGGTTTCAAGCAATTCTCCTGCCTCAGCCTCCTGAGTAGCTGGGATTACACCACACCAGGCTAATTTTTGTATTTTTAGTAGAGACAGGGTTTCACCATGTTGGCCAGGCTTGTCTCGAACGCCTGACCTCAGGTGATCCACCCACCTTGACCTCCCAAAGTGCTGGGATTACAGGAATCAGCCACCGTGCCCGGCCCATGATCCAATATTTTTACTCAAATATAAATTGATGATTTTGAAGATAGTTGTAATTATTGTGATGGTTAATATTAAGTGTCAACTTGATTGGACTGAAGGATGTCAAGTATTGTTCATGGGTGTGTCTGTGAGGGTACTGCCAAAAGAGATTAACATTTGAATCAGTGAACTGGGAGAGGCAGACCTACCCTCAATCTGGGTGGGCACCATCTAGTAACTGGCAGCACAGCTAGAATAAAGCAGACTTGCTGAGTCTTCTGACCAACATCTTTCTCCAGTGATGGATGCTTCCTACACTGGAACATCAGACTCTAAGTTCTTCAGCTCTTGGACTCTTGGATTTACACCATTGATTTGCCAGGGGATCTCCAGCCTTCAGCCAGACTTAAGACTGTACTGTCGGCTTCCCTACTTTTGAGGTTTTGGGACTCAGACTGGCTTCCTTGCTCCTCAGTTTGCAGATGGCCTACTGTGGGACTTCAGCTTGTGATCATATGAGCCAATACTCCTTAATAAACTCTTCTTCCTATATTAATCTAACCTATTAGTTCTGTCCCTCTAGAGCACCCTGACTAATGCAATCACAAACTAAATATTATGTTTCCTTTAAATGGTATGCCATTAAAATAACACTATTTCATCATTTCCATTAGCCCTCTGTATCTATGGGTGCTGCATCCATGGATTCAACCAACCGTGGACTAAATACATACTTCTGATCAGCATTTGCTTGAATTTGCAGATGTGGAACCTGCAGATGCAGGGGGCTGACTTAAGAGACGAGGATCCACAGACGCTGACATCCATGGTGGGTATTGGTTCAAATTCCTGGTGAATGCTAAGAGATAACTGTATTTGTTTTGTAAAAGAGTTAAAATTTTTAGAAAAACATTAATTAAAAACCTATCTAATAAGTGAGAAACTTTTGATTTGCATAGTAATTATTGTATATGTCATAGCATTAATTATTAACAGTACATATCTCAATACGTTTGTACTTTTAAAACAATTTTGCCACTAGGCAAGATAGCAAGATGACAATGAATGTGATGTAGATTATCTAGAACAGCAGTTCACTGGCACTTTAGTAAAAGGGCTTAGAAGAACGTGGAAATTGAATTATATGAGTTACTTCTTCATTAGTATCCCCAACAAAGGCCACTCTGTCCTCATATATTGGTAAAAACGTGGAGGCAAGGCATAGAGAATGATGGTGCATTAAGGAGCCCATCTGTATATGGGAAAACAGTTCATTTTCAATGTTGGAATTAAATTCTATGCATAAGATGGACAACTTTAGGAAAATAACTTGGCAAGAAATCATCAAGTCAGTATTATTTTGGCGTCATTACTACTTTGGATGATATGGGCTCCTGGCCTTGTTTATACCACACTTGTTCTCTTCTTCACCCTCAGTTACTGGCTTCCTGTCTTCCTGCATCCACCCACATGCTTAAGTGTCTGCTCTTGCCCCTGCCTTAGCACTAACGATTTATTTAAAAACATGCTAAAAGAGTAAACTAAACTAATTCATCTAAGAGACCATTCAGACCATCATATTTTGCACATGCTTTTTTATATCTTACCATTAGAATTATAAACCTTCTAGGTCATTCATCATGATCTAATCTCATATAACTATACATTTTTGTTTATTGTCTTACCAGAGTCTATCATTTATGTATCTGGGAGATACATATATCCAAAAAAGATACAGTATGCCTTCAGGAAGTCATAATATACTAGCTATAATATCTCCTATATTCATTCTTCAAAGTTCTTTTTGTTCTTAATAAAACTGAATTCAGGCTGCCAAGTGAAGACACTGGGTGCCAGCTTCTGAAGGTGATACTTCTATTTTTCTCCTCCACATTATGTGCCACATAACCCAAAGATGTGCTGCTTGCTCTCTGTGTCTCCTCCCCCTTTTCATTACCCACTTACATACTGTATTCCTCTCTTCTCACTTAAAATGTCCAATTAGGTTGAAGTCATTCATTATGACTTCAATATCGATGGAGACGATATAGCAAACACCTGGTGTCTGTGTTCTTTTTACTTCCTCATTTCTAAAGACCTTTTCCTTCTCTTAACCTCAGCCTCTTACTCTTCATTTGGTGATTTGCTATTTAATGACAACAAAATATAGGTATACCACCTCTGAAATTCATAATTTAAGTATCTCACTCTGTTAATAACACCACTTAACTTTCAAGCTATCTTTTAATCTTTCTCCCATGTCAATTTTTTTTCAAACTTCTGGCGACTTTCAGTCATTATCTACCATTACCTATGTCCTCTCTTCTATCTTTAAACTGCTTGATTTTGTAGTCTATTACTATAGCCATTCAATTAATTGAAAGTATTCTTACTTCAGTGGCCTTTTTTACTTATAGAAACAACTCTATTTAAACTATTTTTTTTTTTGAGATGGATTTTCACTCTTTCACCCAGGCTGGAGTGCAGTGGCACAATCTCGGCTCACTGCACCCCCCGCCCTCCGGTTTGAAGTGATTCTCCTGCCTCAGCCTCCCGAGTAGCTGGGATTACAGGTGCCTGCCACCACGCCCAGCTAATTTTTGTAATTTTACTAGAGATGGGGTTTCACCATGTTCGCCCGGATGGTCTCGAACTCCTGACCTTGTGATCCACCCACCTCGGCCTCCCAAAGTGCTGGGATTACAGACATGAGCCACCTCACCCAGCCTAAACTAAAATTTCAGTGTAAACTGTAGAATACAGCAACAAGGCCTACACCAACCTTGATGAATGCTTTTGTAAAAAACACACAACGATGGTGACTGAAATTTTAAAGCCATAGCTTTTAAGTAGGCTTTCTAAACTATAACTATTATCCTGGTAGGTTTACTTTCTCACTCTGATAAAGGTGTAATATTTTTAAAAAACCCCTACCCCTGCTCAGTATTTAACTCTTAGTCAATTAACTTACTTCTTACTTCTCTAAGAAAACAAAAGCAACCCGATTGTTCATAAAAAAGCTATCTCCATTTTGATAGATCTCTATATAGTTGATTTTTCCTCTTTTTTTCAAAGGTAAAACTTTTCTGCTTCCTAAGTTCACACTTTAAATTGTTCCTTATATCCCATTGCATCTGGTTACTCAAGGATTTCATTCTTGCCATTATACCCTTTCCTTTTAAATCTCTAGTTTTCGTTTCTACCACACACATTAAATTTAACGTAAACACAAAATAATTCTTTAGTTTTGTGAAACACTCCTGTTAACAGTAGAGGGTGTCCAGGTTCTTGGCGTCTTGAAGAAAGAATTGTACAAAAGGCACAAACAAAGCAAGGAAAGGCCAGGCATGGTGGCTCACACCTGTAATCCCAACACTTTGGGAGGCCGAGGCAGGTGGATCACCCGAGGTCAGGAGTTCGAGACCATCCAGCCTGATCAACATGGTGAAACTAAAATACAAAAATACATGTCTCTACTAAAAATACAAAAAGTATCCAGGCGTGGTGGTGCATGCCTGTAATCCCAGCTACTTGGGAGGCTCAGGCAAGAGAATCACTTGAACCTGAGAGGCAGAAGTTGCAGTAAGCCAAGATGGCGCCATTGCACTCCAGCTGGAGCAACAAGAGCAAAACTCCATCTAAAAAAAAAAAAGCAAGAAAGGAATTAAGGGATTTATTCGAAATGAAAGTACACTCCACAGTCACAGTGTGGGAACGGGCCTGAGCATAGGGGCTCAAAGGCTCCGTTATAGAATGTTGGGGAGTTTAAATACCCCCTAGAGGATTCCGTTGGTTACTTGAGGTACACTCTATGTAAATGGAGAGGATGAGGTAAAGTTACAAAGTCATTTACTTGGCCTATGCCCTATGGAGAGGATATCTCCTGTCATAGCCAAAGTGTGAATCAGCCTTATGTTCCCTGCCTCCAGACCTCATTTTCCTGCCTCATTTCCCCGCTGAGAGATGTGATCCCCATAAATCTTTATGAGAGACAGAGGGGCCGATGGTCTTTTTTCTGTAACTGCTTCATACTGGCTTGGGGTTTTAGTCCCTACCTATTGGGGATCATGGAACTCTTACCCTGCTGTGTCTAGTGGAGGCAGGGTAGCTCCTTGATGGCCAGGGGTGGTGTCTTCACCTGGAACTTGCTGGAGCCTTTGTTGAGTGATCATCTGAAGCTCGATGGTCTCTAGGTGAGAGGAAATGAATTTGGTTAAAAGATTTCATGGGAACTTCAGGGAGTGGATACCTATGATGCCAGAGAAGTTTGTTATAGAGATTTACAGAAGAAAAACAAACCCTGGTCTGTTCTGGAATCCATGTGTTTCCTTAAAGTCTTAGCATGAGCAACTCCATTTTGGTTTGGTTTGGTTTGTTGGGGCCTAGTGCATGAGCTCAGTCCAAAACAATGGCCTCTCATAATTTTGTTTAAAAAAAAAATCCCCTTTTTTGGTCAGGTTTTCACTTAGACGAGAGTGTGACTAAAACTTATGGCCTTAGCCCCACTCTCAGTTACCATCATTTTGGGTTTCTGGTCTCAGCATGTCATTCATAGGTTACAGTGTCCTCATAGTTGCACATTTCTTTCAGCACTTGTTATTCCAGTTGAAGAGAGTCCATATGACATTCTAGAGATGGCTGCATGCAAACATTTAAAACCTTTGAGAGAATACAGCACACCAGGGAGACTATTACTATGACTATTGGGAGGATGATACCAAGCGTTTGGTGTGTGCTCCTTACCCAAGGTCCCATAAACCAAACCTCCTAAAATTAAACAAATCGAAGAATGAACTAAAGAGTTTACTCACTTGACTAAGCAAATTCTTCATCAATCACCTACCACTAGTTTCTATAATCTTTACTTGATGTATTTCCTCATAGGCTACAAGTGCCAGCAGCTGCACAGGTAACTTTTCTGTTTAGCTAATTCTGTTATTTAGCATAGCTTTCACAAGAGAATTTAAAGTCTGTTGTGTGACTGTAGCCTCTACAGTAGAATTTGCTATAGAACCTATCATGAGGGGTACATTTCTAATCATTGCTTCTTTTATTTTAAACCATGGGAAAAGGACCTAACAAATGAGGCCCTTTTAGAAGAAGGGTGAAGGAAGGCCTCCTGGCAATGTTCCCTTTAACCCATGACGTGGGTTAAGAGGAGTGAACCAGTGTTTTGTTTTTGACTGATTATGAGGCAACACATGTACCATTAAAGTGTCTTACCTACACTCGGCCTTCATCCTTTATCTATCAAAGTATACGTTTATCCATGTATAAGGCAGGCTGCAAACTCCTTCACAAATAAAAGTACACCCCATAAGTGCACAAAACCGACACCTTTTCCACTTCTATTGTTCACAGAGACACAAGCAAGAAAAAACATTCAAAGATAAGAGTTTCATGACAGTAGAAGTCTTAATCTGTGAACTTGGGAAAAACTGTTCACATTAAGGATGCTGTCTTCTCTTTGGGAGAAATTTCCCTGGTTAGCTTTACCTCAAGGGTACCAATGGGTGCACAGTTCCAAAAGTGTGGAAGGACCCTTCTCAGTTGCAAGACCACGAACCGAAAGCCCAAGGTCCTGAAGTTTTGTTATAGTGTGGATGGCAAGCATAGTCTTTCTCCAATATTCTCGGAAGATCCAAGCCATAAGAAGCTTTTTTACCTGGCGAAAATACACTATAGCATAATAATCTGCTTTTATAACATCAGCCCTCTTCCATGGGAAAGCTTTTAGACAAGCAGAAAACATGCATTGAAAATAACAATTGAATGAAATCCCTTTACAAAATGTTTAAATGTCCCACCAGGTGACCAAATGTACCTGAAGCTTTGTTTTTCCAGGAATATGGGATCAAGCATTGGTTATAAACTATTTTTGTAAGTTGTAAGTCACTACACCAAAGTATTCAATTTGGATCATTATATCTTTTCCATAATGAGTCATGGAATGCAGAACTTTTAATAATAAAAGCTTTAAGGACTCAGGAAGGACAAAGTGGCCATCCGTTTCTCCGTGAATCCATGCTTAATTAACATTTGGCTTATATCGTCTTGGATACCAGTTGTTTTTCCAAATTAGGTGCATAGCACTGACAAGGAAATTTGGTTATTTTTGTGGTTTACAATAACTTAACATAGTAACCATAATTATAATTGATAGCATATTCTTGGACATTAGAATTTTAGAAATCCCATAAAATTTAGGAATATGTATTAGTATTATTCAAAAAAATATAACCTAAAGAAGATTGAACATCATTTTGGCAACTCCATGTACCTAAACACATAAAATAATCCTGTTTACTTTTCTTCTGGATGTTTTCAGGGGCCCTCATCCAGAAAGCCAGGCCTTATGAAAGACAATTTTGAAACTGAAGTTTGGTTTTAGAATTCTAGATTACCATAAATTATTTATTTTGCCAAAATGATGACTCAAATTTTAAAGAAGCAAAAACCTTTTATAACCTTAAAAAGAAACCACATTCTACTGTTCTTGCACACTTTGCATGTAAAACTGTTTTTAGTAGTCTTAATTGCATGTTATAATGGCGAATTTTAATGGAAGGCCTAGTAAGTAATGTTCTGATAAGGCTTGACTGTTTCCAACATAGCTAGGGGCGTGGCCAACTCCACATGTCCCCAAGTCTTACCTAGCTGGAAAGCAGACAAGTAAAACAAATTTTAAAAGCCAAAAAAGCAGTTTATGACCTTAAAGCATTTAGCAAACCTAATATTTGAACATAATTTAGACCACATGTTTACATTTTGAAGACATTTGTATTTTACCAATAATCTTGAAAACCATCTTTATTTCCCAAAGATTGCTAAAGCCACATCAACTAAAAGGCATTACACTTTATGCTTTTCTGACAAAATATTTGATGTAATCTCTTATTATTATTAAACCATTAATTTAAAACTTTGCAGAGGAGGTTAACCAGTTTGCACAGAGAGAAAGAGGCCAGAGACTGACTGGTAAGAAATTCTTACCCTTTTGCCAGCATGCTAGGTTTGTGGGTTCTCTCTCCCTGAGCGGCCCTGGAGACCCTGCTTGACAATATGCAAACAAACACATTGCCATGAATTAAGAATACACATAGATAGTTTACAAATTTTGGAGAAGCTAGCCATAAAGAGAGATATGACTTAAATTCTATTTGTAACAGTATACTAAACACACTTAAAGTATCAGGAAGCCTAAAATCCAAAAAGTTAGTTTAAGGATAAAAAGCTGGTGTGCTCCATTAATTCCTGCAGCCTGACAAAGGTAGCTTAGGCATTCCAGATAAATGGAATGGATGATGACTTGCTAGAAATGCATATGAAACAAAATAACTATTCACAGAACGAAATAAAAGCCTTCCACTAGAAACTAAAAAGGATCATGGTTTTATATATATGGATACACAAGCAAAGCCAGAGGTTAATAAACAGCAAATGAATTAAAAATAGAAGCAAAAACAAATAAACAGAAAACCGGCCCTCAATTTTCCTATGCAATTTATCCTGGAGAGTACAGTGTTATCTAAGGCCTCCAAAACCCCACATACTGAATATTTTATTCCTGATATACAATTTAATATTCTTAAGTTTACTAATATCATCATACATCCTGTGTAATCAAGAAATTCACTTTGGGAACATGACCAATTAGTACTCTAGCACTATCCATGCAAAAGAGTAAACATAGTGTGAAGCAACGCAAGCATGTATGTGAAATTTGGCTCCACACTAAATTCAGCTCCATGCTTAATGGTATCAAAAAAAAAAAAATTGCCGAACTGTCAATGCCTTTCTTTACAATACTTCTTATTTTACTTTAAGACTAAGAGCTTTAACTATGAAAATATTTATTAGTCAAATGTCTCTCATTCTCTATCAGGATTTAAATAATATTTTATTATTTAAACTCTTTCCACATCTTTCTCCCCTACTTAATGATTCCTTACTAGTTTCATAAATAATCTTTTCAATTCTGTAATTTGAGCTAACTTTTAGATAACTTCTGAATTAGACAAAATTATTCTTTTTTTCCACTAGTAACATAACACTTTCGGTGCATTTTTTATACAGAATTACATGTTAACTAACATTTTTATCCTTAGTAACCTAAAACTTTAGTGAAACCCTAAAAAGCAAGAAATCCTGAACTGTCAGATATGGGCATTTATACATAAGTACAATCCCACAATTTTAGAAACATATTTCCCCTATCACAACCCTTTCTTAATTGGAAATGACTCAGATATTAAATGAGTATCAAAAATAACTTTAAGATTTTAATTGACCCAAAACGTTTACCTAAAACATTTATCCCATTCACCGTACTTAATTTTTACTTTTAACAAGGGAGACATGAGACATCAATCCACATACGTAAAACATTACAAATTAGTTTGGTCTGGAAAGGCGAGGAGGGGGATTGGGGGCTTTCAGATCATACGTGAGAGACAAATGGTTGCATTATTTTGAGTTTCTGATTAGTCTTTTTAAAGGAAGCCGTCATACATGGATTTATCTCAGTGAGACTGTGAGTAAAATGGGAGGCAGGCTCACCCCATGCATCTCCCAGCTTAAATTAACACTGACATTTTAAAATATCTAGCAAAGACAAACATAAAATTCAGAAAAAAATGTATGCTGACAATTCTGAAGGCCTATTTTTATTCCACCAATAATGTGAAAGCTAGCTTGTTTAGTAAAGTTATACTTAGGTCACATGAACTCAAAAATTGCTTATTTACTTAATTTATGAATGCTCTCTTATTTAGAAGCCAATGTGGTAGACACAACATATAACAATAAGTGTACATACAAGTAAACACATCTAGACGTGTATACACACATATATACAAAGATCCAATAGCTTGGAACGTTAGCCATGAGATAGCAATACAAACTTGCCAGTTTTACTTTGCCCCAATGGATAATTTAAGGAAGGCTGTGAACCAAAATTTCAGGTAAAGCAGTCTCTGTGACAGTTAGATGTTTAAAGGCTAAACCTCCCCAGATTCCCAGGAGCACTGGGGCCAAAGAATACCAAAGAAGGTTAGAACAGCAGCACAAAAGCCTGGATACATGCAATGCCATCCCACTTTCCCATTAGACAGTAAACTTCAGATTCTAAACAATTTTGGGGCCAAGCAGCATTGCAACTGCGAGAGAAAATTCTAAGGAGGGCTCATTACTGTACCTCACCTCTGCAGAGAGCATCTTCTTTGGAAAGTTTGAGTTCCGGATGATCCCCTCCGAGTGTCCTCCTGTGGGGTTCAATCTTAAGAGTTCCAGATGTCTCTTGGCCTTAGGTGGGCACCGGTGCCACTTTGCATGCATTCCCTCCAGAGCCTACTGTGAGCTGTTTCCTGGGTGTAAAACTCGACTTTTAGCATCCTTATAATTTGATAAGGCCACGCTTATCAAATCCCATTCCATAACTTATCCCATTCCATAAACTTTAATGACAGGAACTGGAGGCTTGGTGGGTTTCCTTTGCCCTTAGCCAGTTGAATAGGGGAAGTGAAGAATTTAGCATAAGAAAAGAAAGTTTGAGTCACCTGAAACAGGTAGTTTGCTCCAAACTGCACCACACATAGGAATCAGGGACCAGGTGTGGAAAAGATTTTTAAAAAGTCCTTTCCCCTTCTGGGTAGGGCAATTATTCCCATTTGTTCCTAGGCCTTCAGGCAACACTGGGGAGTGACCTCAGCCAATTGTCCTCAGTTTCCAAGGAGCTACTAGGAAACAGCCATTGAAAGACGGAAAAAAAAAAAAAAAAAGAAGAGTAAAAAAATGAAAAAGACCCAGATTCCTTAAGCAAATTGGGCAGTGGTGGTTGGGCTTTGCCTGTGGAAACCCCTTAGTTTCACTGACCATGGCCAGAAACCTGCAGTTGCTTCCATGTTTAGGTGCTGCCCACCAAGGGTCCCAGGTTGGAAAGGAAAAGAGAGAGAAAGAGATTCGCCTGTTTGGAGCAGAAAGGAAAAGGAGAAAGGAGAAGAATAAATCCCAGACTTTGGGCTTATCTCTTCCTCCTGGCTAGCTCGCCAAAATATGTTAACAGTGAAGAGTGTCTATGTTCTTGGCGTCTTGAACAAAGAATTGGACAAAATGCACAAACAAATCGAGGAAGGAATGAAGAGATTTAGTAAAAATGAAACTACATTCCACAGTGTGGGAGTGGGCCCGAGCATAGGAGTTCAAAGTCCCTGTTACAGAATTTTTGAGAGTTTAAATACCTGCTAGGATTCCATTGGTTATTTGAGGTATGCCCTATGTAAATGGAGAGGAAGAAGTAAAGTTACAAAGTCGTTTACATGGCCTATACCCTATGGAGAGGATATTTCCTGTTACAGCTGAAGTGTGAATTGGCCTTATGTTCCCTGCCTCCAGACTCTGTTTTCCTTCCTCACTCCCTTGCACTATTATTTAGACAATTGATAGATTATCTATTCCATCTTATAGGCAATTGCCAGGAAAGTTGTTTATAGTTACTGCTTTTAATTCTCTGTGTCCTATTCTGTTGTTAATTATCTCCAATTAGGTATTTATTCCCTACTGAAGCCATTCTATTTAAGTACATGAATAACTACTATCCTGACTCTAAATGTGCCATTCTTAGAAAGTTCACCAATGATTGACTCTACCAACACCATCTTTTTAGCTTTATCAGTGAATACCATTTTTCCAAATTTAATCATTTATATGTTTTACTCTTACTTGAACTCTCAGCAGCTTTGACAAAATCATTACTTCCACCTTATTGAAACACTTTAATGTCTTAGTGAAATGACCTCATTAAAGTCACAGAGCCTTAGTTTCACATTTATAAATGAGGGTAATTATCTTGCAGGATTGTTAAGATGATTCAATGAGGTAATACGTGTAAGAATTACCAGTGGCTGGCTTTTAGGATGGACTCAATGAAGAGAAGCAAATGTAATAATAATTAATTCCTTAAGTATGCTAATCTTGTCTGTAGGTCATTTCTTTATGAATTGCAAATGATCAGAAAGCATTCCTATATTATATACTACTTCAAACTCAATTTCGATCATAAATATAGCAAAATATCTGAAACATAAAGGTCCAGTAAATAATTGTTACAATTTATGAATTCCACTATTGATTCAACTTCTTTTTTAACAAGGAAGCATCAAACTAAATAATTCGCATGCTTATTTTTCAGCAGGAAAGTTAGAAAATTGCCTGTGTTGTCACCCTATGCTGACTACAGCTCAATTTTTGTCAACATGGTTCAAAAGATATTTTAGCATTTACCTGATACATGATATTGAAGACTTAATTTCTTCAGACAGTGGAGCCACAACCTAGTGTTGAAGTCCCAGATTCCTTTAATAAGCCTCTGCACTTAAACTGTGTGAATTCACAAACCGTATTTTTTTCTTATTGTAAAATTTGTTATATTAGAGCTTTAATTACAGATAAATTATTAAATTTGTTGTTCCTATATAGATGTACTTTTCCTAAGAGGAAAAATACTAAGACTAATTTCAGTATGTTTTTAAATTGACATCATCTAACACAAATTGTCGAATATAACCAAAGCTGTACATTTATCGTGGTTTATATTACCCATATGTAGCACAAATTCTAATCCCCGTGTGTCTGAGTTATGGATGCTTGGAATCTTCTGTGAACTTTCATTTCAGGCTTTATTATTTCTTATGAGAGGTAGCCTCTCTAGACTCAACCCATTACAAAAAAATTATGCCTGTATTTCCTCCATCCCTTTCAGTCAGCTAAATATATTCACATCAATGCTGAAATAGGAAATTAGTTTTATAGTAGCAAGATCATTATATGATAATTGTTTCTTATAAGGCTATAACCTTGGACAAGGGGATAATAGAAAGCAACTTTATTCATTTAAAATACAGCACATGTATCTTTTTTTTCAGTCACCAATCTGTGTCTTATTTCATCTCTAACCCAGCTCCTCACTTCTTTTTATAAACTTTCCTTTTATTCACTTGGCTTCAGATATAACACATTCTCGAATTTTCTTTTTACTTCAGTGGTAGCACCTTCTCAATCATCTTTGCTTACTTTGTTTTTTCCCATTTCCTCAACCTGAAGCAGTGGAAAGCCTTAGGACTGGGTCACGTTCTTATTTAGAAACATTCACTCCCTAGGTAAGCTCATTACCTACTTCCTCTACTTTAAATACTAGTGATATAATGGTGAGTGGTAAATTTTAATCTCCAGCTCTGACCTCCTACCTACCTTTCAGAACCTTATACTGTATTCAGCTGACTACTTGACATCTCCACTTGGATTTCTGATCAGTGTATCTAACTTAAAAGATCCCAAAGGTATACAATTGATTCCCTGTTTTGTCAATTATACCTCCTATGCTAGGGATTCCTATCTCATTAAGCTGCAACACCATTCATCCAATTGCTCAGGCTAAGACATTGTATTTCTCCTTTTTCTGCTAGTGTGCTTTATCTGAATAAATAGTACCACCATTTACCCAGTAAATTGATCACCCTTAAGCCTTAATTTTGAAGCTTCCTCAATTAGTCTCTTGCTTCCATTTTTGTTTATCCAAATTAGTCCTAGCGATTATTAAGAGGAAGAGTTGCCTTCAGTTTTTCCCTCTATTATTCTGTTCTAGCCACAGTGATTTTACTGTTTCTTGACTACATAAATACATGCTTAATTCAGAGTATTTATTATCTATCGTATCCAAAATACTGGTTGACTGGGCTCAGTGCAATCTCATCTAATGGCACTTTATGTTGTTTGATGACAACAGATAAAGTTTTATCCTTTGAATTGGAAATGTAATATTGTCATCCTTTGAGTTGGAAGTGTAATATTGAATAAACATGTAATTCACTACTTACTTGATACCCCAAATGACACTCACTAAATAGGTTCCTGTACCTCTCAATTCTAAGAAACACTGGGGCCCTGATTTCCAAAACTGCTGAAAAGAAGATGCTCTTTTCGTTTGTGTCTCTTCTTTCCAACCCTAAATCACTTGTTTGAAAGATTCACAAAGGCCTGCAGGACGGAGAATCAAGTTAATTTAATGTTTTACTAGCAAGCTTCTGCTTAAAAAAAAAAAAAGATCTAAATCATACCCTTTGCTCAATGCCACTACTTAATTTCTGTTATTCATTTACAGCCCAGCAAGAACTATTACCAATATGATTTCTAATATAGAAGAGCTATAGTAACTCACAATAAAAGAAAAAAACCTCATATTATGATAATTCACAAAATATTAATAAGCATTCATATAATTAAATACTCAAAATACCCAAAATGGATTATAAATCATCTTATAGTGATTTTTATCCTAATAGTTTGATTTCAATTCTGAGTAGACCTGAAATTTTTCTTAAATGTAGAACAGTGGTTCCCAGACAAGAACAATTTTCTCTTCCAGAGGACAAATGTCTGGAGACATTTTTAATTATCACAACTTGGGGTTGGTGGAGGATGTTACTGACATCAAGTGGATAAAGGTCAGGGATGTTGCTAAACATTACATACATCCCTAAGTGCATCCTACATTGTCTTCTGCACACGAAGAATTATCTGGCCCTAAATGCCAAAAATGCCAAGGTTCAGACATGTTAATCTGCAGTAAGTAAATATAATAGCAGAAATTTCACCAGTAATACTCTTTTAGAAAATTACATACTTTTTTTAACTTGTGTAAGCTATATACAGTAAGGTATAAAAATTAATTTGTTTTAAAGAAAGAAATCATAATAAAACACAATTGAAGGTTATTTTTAAAATTACCATAATGCAAAATTAAACTTTCTATATTTTACAAAAAAGAAAGCATGAAAGATAATATGTAGGGTTCCCCCTCCTCTCACCCCTTAGTTTTCTTATTTATGATTTCTTCATGAATTTGTCTCTGTTTATAGAAATTGTGTTGTAAATGTATGGTAATTATAAATTTATTAGGCATTTCTCTAAAAGAATGCCATGTTCTTTAAAAATTCATAAATATTCATGTTTTCTATAAAACAGTAGTCATTTTCTAAGATGTTTATGAAAACGTGTGGCATTTAAGAGGTTATCTGAAAATGTGACTAAATTTAAAGCCAAAGAGAAGTTTAAAGTTGAGAGTTGTGAGCAGCAGATCCAATAAAAAGACCATAAGGCCAGAGGAGGAATATTTTCCTCTACACAAAATTGATTTTTCTAGAAACCATCAGGGTGAAATGAATTATGTTGTTCTTAGGATTCTTCTTTAGATTGTTTTCTGTTCTTTATCTACCAAATACTTTCCAAGGAAATTTTATTTGTTCTCCTAGCTTTAACTCTTGCTTGTATACTGATTTCACTGAAATGTATGATCCTCCTTAGTTCTCTTTCCTGAGTTCTAGGCGTAACTATACAACTGGATGCTTAACAAAACACCAGAGAGAATTCAGAGTGTTGGTCTAGGTTGGTTTCGTAGACAAATGAACTTTGCAGTCACACAGGGAGCCACAGCCACAAGGGCATTTTTATTTTGCACAAGGTCACAAAGATTATGCCGCCTTTCTCCTGTGTGTCAGAGTCTGAATTCATCCTTCCCACTAGACCATTTTCTCCTAATAATCAGTAATCTCCAGTCCATTTCCTCTGGGTTTCTCGCTCTATGTAGGCAATAGCATTCCACACTTTTAACTACTTTTTAGATGTTTATTTCCATGTTTTCAATAGTATCTTTGTATTGTCATTACTTGACTTCTCTGTTTTAGAATTCCTTTGGCTCCCCCTTATACAAGGTGAATAGTCAGTTCCCTAACACCCATTCCAAAAACAAAACAAAACAAAAAACTTCCCTTTTTCTGTGCACACATAGGGATTATATCAGATATTTTGGTCAATCAACCCCTAGGTTATATATTATTGTGACTATGTAAATATTATTCACATATCAGCTACATTTGACACTTTGGGTATATTTATTTTCTTATGCTTCCTTTTATTTTCTCTGAGATAATATCTGAATCATATTAAAACACTTCTTTGAGACATCTCTTCTTGGGTCTTTGTCTTCCCACTTAAATCTGGCTGTTTCCTCTCTATGTTTAATAGGATCTCCCTTCAGCATATCATGGGAATTTCCTTATCATTTCTCCTATGTTAATTTTTTTGTCTTATAACTCCATGAATATTTCTCTTTATTTCTCATTTGATAAAGTATATCCCAGACTATTTTCCAGGAAGGGATGAATATAAGATTATTTTTGAGATTTTGGGCAGTGGATATTGTAAATTGGCACTATTCAGTGTCTATTTTCAGTACCCTCTAATGTAGCTACCATTACTTCATTTCTGCCTGAAAAGCTGTAAACATTTCACAGATCCCCTTTGTAGAGAGGGTGCTGGATATAGTTTTTATTTCACCAATCTTACTCACTTTTTTTTTTTGTTTTGTAAAATTTAGACAGCAGGAGGCTCCACTTCAACTATTCTTTCTGTTTTTACTGCTAAGCATGGTCTTAGAAGGCTTTGGACTTTCTATAGCATTGTCAGGTATATCCTTGTCCAGTCATGAGTTTTCTTATTGTAAGACATATGGCCCAAGGCATCTATTTTGTTGATGTACATCACAGTGGGCCCAATGTAATAGTAGATCTAGGTAAAATAACAGTAGTCACAGTCACAGCTGAATATTATACTTCACACACACACAATCTGCCAGTAGCAGAATTCAATGTTCTGTGACCAATACACCACTAGCTACTGGTGTCAGTCCAATATATTAGAACTTATATTTCATTTGTTTCTTTATTTAAGTCTTTTAATTCTCTCCTCCCTATGTTCATAATTTCCTTTAAATCTTTAAGCATATTTCTAAGGGCTACTGGAAACTGTTTGCTAATTTCATTATCTCATTCGTGTGAATATTATGTTTCTAGTATGTAAATAATGCCATTCTGAATTAAGAATGTTAAAATTTGTATTGAAAAGCATTTAATTTGATTGAGGACCAGCTTGATCATTTTATCGGCAGCAGTTGAATAAGTGTTACTCTAGGAAATATAAACTACTGTGATGTTTGTGTATCTAGAGAACGTTCCAGGTATTCAATGTGATCTCTCTAATCTAATGGGCAGTTGAGCATCTCCTGATCTTTTGTGTGCTCTGGTAATCATTGATGTTACAGTTCTCTTGTTCTTTGCCTAACATTGTTGAATTTTATAATGTGTAGGCCTTAATTCTTATTCAGTGAAAGAATCAAAAGGACATATATGCATTTTAGTCTATACTATGGGCTTTCTCTGTGTTCTTCCTTTGACTGTAACACTCCATATTACAAATTCAGTTGACTATCTTATCTCCTCAAAACTTAAACACACATATACACACATCAAATCCGGTGAGGGCTTTATTTTTGGTATTTTATTATTACCATTATTAAGGTTAGAAATTTTGCCACATATTTGAGGATCCTTTGGTGTCTGTTTATATATGGGGATGTAGTACCAAGAAAAAAAAGTAGATTCTAACATTTTATGTTTATGTGTGGGGTATAATACAAAGATAAGTCTCATCATCTGGCTAGACTCCTCATTATAAAAGACCCAGTTATACTATTTATTTGTATTTTTCTTGATTTATTTACTTTCTGAAAGATAAATATTCTAGTATATTGCTATGTGGTATAATCCTGGCTTTCCAACTTTTCGGAGAGCTAAGTGGTATCAATAGCGATGAGCCCCCACACTTCTGGATGTAGACCTTCATTTTATTACTTTTTATTCTAGTAGAGTTTTATAGTACTCAGTTAAGCATAGTTCCAAAATGACTAGAGTAATTCTGTATAACTTTTCACCAGATAAACCTACTTTTTATGGTTTCGAAATAAGAAGTAGATGAGGAATTCCATGCTGCTTGGAGCATCCTGGAGTCTGGCTTCTCGTATAGTCAGAAATTATTTATGATTATCTTCCCCAAGTTTACTATTATCTACAGTGATACCTGGCTTCTGTAATTTTCTCCTATTTGTTGCATTCTGTAATATAATTTTATTGATTACAGTATTCTTGCTGTTACTTTGGTTACCATATCAGTTAGTCCATCTTTTTCTACATTATAAAATGTTGCTTGATTTTTACATTTGTATTGTACATGACTATTTCATTTATTTGTGTGATCCATTTTGTGCTTATGAAGATACCTTTAATGCTAATTTAATGGAATTTTAAATAATTTCAAAGCTAGTGTTTATTTTTATTGAGAGTCATAATGTTCTTTTTATCTTTTTAAAGTTTCATTTAAAATTGACATATAATTGTACATATTTACTGGGTTTAGTGTGATGCATAGATTGTATAATGACCGAGTCAGGGCAATTACCATATCTATTACTTTATACATTTATCATTTCTTTACAGTGGAAACATTCAAAATCTTCTCTTCTAGGAATCTTAATATAAATATGACATTGTTATTAGCTATAGTCACCCTACTGTGTTAATAGAACACCACAACATATTCTTCCTGTTTAACTATAACTTTGTATCTGTGTATCTGTTTGCCAACCTCTCTCAACCCCCTTTCATTCTCTTCTCACCTTCTGATAACCACCATTCTACTCTCTACTTCTATTCTTTTTTCTTTTTCTTTTTTTTTGGAGATGGACTCTCGCTCTGTCACCTAGGCTGGAGTGCAGTGGCACAATCTTGGCTCACTGCAACTTCCACCTTCTGGGTTCAAGCCGTTCTCCTCCCTCAGCCTCCTGAGTAGCTGGGAGTACAGGTGTGCACCACCAAGCCCAGCTAATTTTTTTATTTTTAGTAGAGACGGGGCTTCACCATGTTGCCCAGGCTTGTCTCGAACTCCTGACCTCAGGTGATCCACCAGCCTTGGCCTCCCAAAGTGCTGGGATTATAGGTGTGAGCCACCGCACTCGGCCTCTACTCTCTACTTCTATGAGATCAATTTTGTGAATGAAATCATGTGGTATTTGTCTTTCTGTGCCTGGCTTATTTCATTTAACATAATGTCCTCCAGGTTCATCCATGTTGAAGCAATTGACAGGATTTCATTCTGTTTTATGGTTGAATAGTTTTTCGTGGTATATATATAATATATTATAATATATAATATATAATTATATATTATATATATATATTTAGTAGAGCCCCATCTCTACTAAAAATTAAAAAATTAGCTGGGCATGGTGGTGCACGTCTGTAGTCCCAGCTACTCAGGAGGCTGAAGCAAGAGAACTGCTTGAACCCAGGAGGTGGAGGTTGCAGTGAGCCGAGATTGTGCCACTGCACTGCAGCCTGGGTGACAGAGCGAGACTCCGTCTCCAAATATACATATATATATCTTTATCTATTAATCTGTAGATGAGCACTTAGGTTGATTCCATATCTTGGCTATCGTAAATAGTGAAGCAATAAATGTGGGAGTAAAGTAGCTCTTTGTCATATTGATTTTATTTTCTTTGAATATATTCCCAGTAATGGGATGGCTGAATCATATGGCAGTTATATTTTTAAAATAAAAATAAAGAGGTTTTGAGGAACATCTTTACTGTTTTTTTTAAATGACTATAATAATTTACATTCCCACCAGCGATGTGCAAGGGTTTCTTTTTCTCTACATTCTCACCAACAATTCTTATCCTTTGTGTTTTTGATAATAGCAAATTTAACAGGAGTAAGGTCATATCTCATTGTGGTTTTGATTTGCATTTCCCTGGTGACTGACAATTTTGAGTATTTTGTACATACCTGTTGGCCATTTTTTATGTCTTCTTTGATAAATGTCTATTAGGAGTTTTTGCCCATGTTTAATTGGGTTGGTTTTGGTTTTTTGCTATTAAGTTATTTGGGTTCCTTATGCATTCTGGATATTAATGCCTTAACAGATGTATATTTTGCATGTATTTTCTCTCATTCTGTAGATTGTCTCTTCCCTCTGTTGTTTGTTTCTTTTCCTGTGGAGATGCTTTTTAGTTTGTAATAATTTCATAGTAATAATTTAGTAGTAATTCCATATGTCTATTTTTGCTTTTGCTGCCTGTGCTTTTGTAGTCTTATCCAATAATTTCTTCCCCAGTCCAATTCCATGAAGCATTTCCCTTGTTATTTACTAGTAGTTTCATAGTTTTGGGTCTCACGTTTAAGTTTTTAATTCATTTAGAATGGCTTTTTGTTTACTCTGAGAGATTGGGGTCTAGTTTCATTCCTTTGCTTGTGAATATCCAGTTTTCTCAGCACTATTTTTTGAGTGACTGTTATTTCTTCAATGTGTGTTGTTGGCAACTTTGTTGAAAATCAGTTGTCAGTAAATGCATGGATTTATTTATGGTTTCTCTATTCTGTTCCATGGGTCTATGTGTCTGTTTTGATGTCAGTATCATGCAGCTTTATCACTATATGTTTATAATATAATTTGAAGTCAGGTAGGGCGATGCTTTCATTTTTGTTCTTTTTGCTCAAAATTGCTTTGGCTATCTGGGGTCTTTTGTATTTTCAATATAAATTTTAAGATTTTATATACTATTTCAGTGAAGAATGTCATTGGTAATTTGATAAGGATTATATTGAATCAGTAGATCACTTTGGGCAATATGGCCTTTTTATCAATATTAATTCTTCCACTTCATGAACATGTGGGATTTCTTTATTTCTTTATGTTTTCAATTACTTTTATCAATGTTTTATCGTTTTCATTGCAGGGATTTTTCAGGTCCTTGGTTAAGTTTATTCATGGATATTTTTAGTCAATTTTATCTGTTTAAAACCCAGCTCTTCATTTTGTGGATACCTTGTATATTTTTTAGTCTCTATTATTTTTATTTCTGCTTTAAACTTTATTATGAATTTTCCTCTCCCTGTTTTGGGTTTTTTCCTTGTTTTTCTAGTTCCTGGAGGTGAAGCATAGGTTATTTATTCAAGATCTTTATACTTTTTAAATGTAAATGATTACATTTACATTTGTAATGTACAAATGTACAAACTTTCCACTTAGAACTGCTTTTACTGCATTTCATAGGTTTTGGTATTTTGTGTTTCCAATTTCATTCGTCTTAAAGACATTTTAAGTTTCCTTTTTTAATTTATTCATTTACTCATGAGCATATGTTCATGAGCGTATTGTTTAATTTTCGTATATTTATAATTTCAAAGTTTATTCTATGATTGATTTCTAGTTATTCCATTGTGGTTAAAAAAGATTCTTCATATAATTCTGATTTTTAAAAAATGTGTTAAAGCTTATTTTGTAGCATAACATATGGCTATCCTGAAGAATATTCTATGTGCTGATGAGAAAAGTGGGTATTCTGCAGCTTTTGGGTGGAATGTTATGTAAATGTTTGTTAGGTTCATTTTGTCTAGAGCAGTTTAACTTCAATATTTATTGGCTGATTTTTGATATGAATAATCTGTCCATTGCTGAAAATGGGGTGTGGAAGTCCCCTATTATTATTATACTACAGTATATATTTAAGTACTCCAGTGATGGGTGCATATATATTTGCAATTGTTATATTCCACTGCTATATTGACTCTTTTATCATTATATAATGACCTTCTTTGTCTTTTTACCATTTTTCACGTAATGTCTATTTGATCTGCTGTAAATATAGCTACTCCTGCTCTTTTAGGTTTTAATTTGCCTGGAATACCTTTTTCATCCCTTCATTTTCAGTTTATTTGCATATTTATAGGAAAGTAAATTTTCTGTAGGCAGCATATAGTTGAGTCTTTTTTTTTCAAATCTAGTCCGTCACTAAGTGTCTTTTAATTGGTTGTTATTGATAGGTAATGGCTTACTACTGTCATTTTGTTGCTTGTTTCCTTGTTGCTTTGTAACTTCTTTCTTCCTTTCTTATGTCTTCCTTTGTGCTTAAGTGATTTTATCTGGTTTATTTTCTCCTTTTTATTCTTGATGTAACCTACAATAATAGTTTTTCCCTTGTGGTTACAGTGAGGCTTACCAAAAACATCTTAGAGTTATAACAAATTATTTTTAACTAATGACAGCTTACCATTGATCACAAAATATAAAGAAAACAAACAAAAACTACAAAAAAAAACCCTCTACATTAACTCCATTTCTCCTACATTTTGACTTGTCTCAATTTTCGTATATTTATATTATCTGTTCAATTATTGTCTTTTTTATAGTTACAGTTTTGCCTTTAGTCTTTATACTGTAAAGATATTAGTGATATACACACCACAATTACACTGAGAGTATTCTGAATTTGTATACTTACTTTTACCAGTAAGTTGTATCCCTGAAGATGTTTTCTTGATACACTTTATCATCTTTTTCTTTCAGAATTAAGAACTTGCTTTTACTTGTAAGAGAGGTGTGGTGGTGATGATTTCCCTCAGCTTTTCTTTGCCTGGAAAAGTCTTTATTTCTCATTCATGTCTGAAGGATAGATTTCTTAGATACAGCATTATTTGTGGTGAGGTATTTCTTTTCTTGTTGTTTTTTTGTTTTCTTTCATCATTTTGAATGTTTTCCCACTGTCTCCTGTCCTTCCTCTGAGAAGTCTGCTGCCAGGCATGTTGGAGCTTCTTTATATGTTATTTGCTTCCTTTCTCCTGTTTTTAGAATCCTATCTTTTTCATTGACTCTTGAGAGTTTGATTATTATGCTCTTGAAGTAGTCTTTTTTTGTTTGAATCTAACTGGCAATCTTACACCTTCCTATAGTTAGATATATATATACATTTCTCTCTAGGTTCAGAAAGTTTTCTCTTTGAGTTAAACTTTTTACCACCACCCTTCCTTTTTTCACTTCCTCTTGAAGGCCAGAAACTCTTAAATTTGCTCCTTTGATGCTATGCCATGGGTCTTATAAGCTTTCTTTGTTCTGTTTTGTTCTCTTCAGACCATATATTTTCAAATTGCCTGTCTTCAAGCTCACACATTCTTTCTCCTTTTTGATGTATTCTGCTATTGAGACCCTCTAATGCATTTTTCAGTTATTTATTCTATTTTTCAGCCCCAGGAATTATGTTTGATATCTTAAAAATCATTTTAACCTCTTTCTTAAATTTCTCTAATAAATTTCTGAACGATTTCTCTGTACTTTCTTAAAGTTCATCAAATTTCTTAAAATAGTTATTCTAAATTCCCCATCTGACCGATCACATATCTCCATCTCTTAAGAGTAAGTTGCTAGCACTTTATTTAGTATGTTTGGCTAGGACATATTTTCTTAAATGTTCTTGATGCTTATGGATGTGCATCAATGTCTGAACACTGAAGAATTGTACATTTACTCTAGTCTTCACAGTCTGTCCTTGATTGTACGTGTCCTTCTTCAAAGAACTTTCCAGGAATTCATAAGGGACTGACTGTTTAGTTTCCTAAGTCCATGATCACTGCGGCAGTTTCAGCCCTGGAGGATAATTGTTTATGAAATTATCTCACAGTATGTGAGGTCACTAAATCAATGAGCCTGCAGGGACACCAGAAGAAAGTGTACTGGATTCCCAAAGTCCCTCTCTCATTTTCCTTTCTCTCCATCAAGTGGAGGGAGTCTCTCTCTTCACTGTGTTTCCTGGGGCTGGGCAAGGATTATGTAGGCAATGTGACACTATCCTTTCTATCCTTTTCAATGTGCCTTTTCTTACTATTATTCTAAAACCAGGTACTATAATCTCTCATTTTGTTTTCTAGCTTTTGTGAATGTGTTTTCTTGCATAGATATTTGTTCAAATTGTTCTTTCTTTGTGTATGTGGGAGAAGGGGCACTCACTGGAGGGTTCTTTTCCACCGTCTTGCTCTACCTCCTCATAATGTTATTTCTTAATGAAAGTTTTACTATTGACCAAAAAAAATCGGATCAACAACTTTGAATGCGTAGTAATTAAACACAAAGTACAGTGTAACATAAAATATTTCTTTACTGCATTAACAATTAAAGAAACAATTTTGTTTAAATATCATATAAATACAACAAATTGCCTATACCATACGTGTAGAACTTAAATTTCTCATAAACTAGACATGGCTATGTTAAGTTTCATCAATATTAAACACTACCTCAGGTGTTTTAGATCAATGTTCATGGTTTGTCCACTTCTCCTTACCACCCAAATCACAAGCACTATGTTGACATTTAGAATCACAGATTTGTTTTTACACCTTCCAGATTTCATAAAAGTTGAACCATATCACATGTACTCATTTGTCTCTCATTTATCACTGAGTTTATATTTGTAGTTTCTTGAAATTTTGCATTTTGTGGTAACTAATTCATTGTCATTGAGTTACAGTATTCCATTATGTGAACAGACCACAGTTCATTGGTCTAATTTACTGCTGATGGGCATTTGAGTTAATTTATAGTTTGGGATTATCATTAACTGCTTTTTTGAATAATTAAAATCTGACTTTTAATGAAATGGAAGTTTATTGAGTATACACTAAGAAGTGGAATTTCTGAATCATAGACAATATTTGCAATCTGCTTCTTTATGCAATGCCAAAAAATTTTCCAAGGTGGTTGTGCACTGAACTAAATTATTGTGTACCCTCAAAATTTATACATTGGAGCCCTAACCTCCAATGTGGTTATATTTGTGTAAGGAAGGAATGAAGTTGATCTGGGGTCATTAGAAGTGTAGGCCCTTATTTTACAGAAAATTAGTGTCTTAATGAACAGGGACACTAGAGAGCTTGCTTTTTCTGTCTCCAGACATACCAAGAAAAGGCCTTCTGAGAACATAGTGAAAAGGCTACTGTTACAAGCCAGGAAAGAAGCCATCACTAGAAACTAAACTTACTGGCACTTGATCATGTATCTTGCGTCCAGAACTGTGAGAAAATAAATGTCTGTTGTTTAACCACCCAGTTATGGTTTTTTTGTTTCGTTTTGTTGTGTTGTGTTTACTCAGCCCAAACAAATAAAGGCAGGTTGTACTAATTTTAACTCCCATCAACAATGTATGAAGGTTTATTTATTTGTTTATTTAACCTTTTATTTTCATAGGTTTTTAAGGCACAGGTGGTATTTTTTTACATGAGTAAGTTCTTTAGTGGTGATTTGTGAGACTTTGGTGCACCCATCACCAGAGCAGTATACACTGAATTTAATTTGTAGTCTTTTATCCCTCACCTCCTTCCCACTCTTTCCCCTGAGTCTCCAAAGTCCATTGTATCATTCTTATGCATTTGCATCCTCATAGCTTAGCTCCCACTTATGAGTGAGAACATACGATGTTTGGTTTTCCATTTCTGAGTTACTTCACCTAGAATAATAGTCCCCAGTTCCATCCAGATTGCAAATGCCATTAATTCATTCATTTTTATGGCTGAGTAGTATTCCATTGTGTGTGTGTGTATGTATATATATATGTATATATATATACCACAATTTTTTTTTTTTTGAGATGGAGTCTCGCTCTGTCACCCAGGCTGGAGTGCAGTGGCATGATCTTGGCTCACTGCAAGCTCTGCCTCCCGGGTTCACGCCATTCTCCAGCCTCAGCCTCTCTAGTAGCTGGGACTACAGGCGCCTGCCACCACGCCTGGCTAATTTTTTGTAGAGACGGGGTTTCACTGTGTTAACCAGGATGGTCTCGATCTCCTGACCTCATGATCCACCCGCCTTGGCCTCCCAAAGTTCTGGGATTACAGGCGTGAGCCACCGAACCCAGCCCACAATTTCTTTATCCACTTGTTGATTGATGGGCATTTGGACTGGCTCCATATTTGAGCAATTGTGAATTGTACTGCTATAAACATGCATATGCAAGTATCTTTTTCATATAATGGCTTTTTTTCCTCTGGGTAGATACACAATAGTGGGATTGCTGGATCAAATGGTAGTTCTACTTTTACTTCTTTAAGGAATCTCCACATTGTTTCCCATAGTGGTTGTACTAGTTTACATTCCTACTAGCAATGTAGAAGCATTCCCTTTTTACTGCATCCACGCTGACATTATTATGTTTGATTTTTTTATTATGGCCATTCTTGCAGGAGTAAGGTGGTATCACATTGTGCTTTTGATTTGCATTTCTCTGATCATTAGTGGTGCTGAGTTTTGTTTCGTATGTTTGTTGGCCATTTGTATATCTTCTTTTGAGAATTCTCTATTTATTTCCTTAGCCCACTTTTTGACTTTTTTTTTTTTTTGAGACAGAGTCTCGCTTTGTTGCCTAGGCTGGAGTGCGATGGCACAATCTCGGCTCACTGCAACCTCCGCCTCCCAGGTTCAAGTAATTCTCCCATTTCAATCTCCTGAGCCGTTGGAATTACAGGCACCCGCCACAACACCCAGCTAATTTTTGTAGTTTTGTAGAGGCGAGGTTTCACCATATTGGCCAGGCTGGTCTCAAACTCTTGACCTCAGGTGGTCTGCCCACCTCAGCCTCCCAAAGTGCTGGGATTTGTTTGGTTTTTTTCTTGCTAATTTGTTTGAGTTTGCTGTAGATTCTGAATATTAGTCCTGTGTTGTATGTATAGATTATGAAGATTTTCTTCCAATCCCTGGGTTGTTTATTCTGCTGATGGTTTTTTGTTTGTTCTTTGCTGTGCAGAAGCTCTTTAGTTTAATTAAGTCCTACCTATTTAATTTTTTTTTTTTTTGCATTTGCTTTTGGGTTCTTGGTCATAAAGTTTTTGCATAACTCAATGTATAGAAGGGTTCTTCCGAAGTTCTCTAATAGAATTTTCATAGTATGAAGTTTTTAATTTTTTGGCATGCTTGCCAATGCTTGGTGTATTTCATCTCTTCCATTTAGTCCTTGAGGAAAATAAATAGTTAAATCACGCTGTGATTTTGATTTTGATTTTCATTTTTCTTGTGACCAATAAAGTTATTTAAGTTTCCGTTTACTTATTGGCCATTTGGGTATTTACTCTTTTATAAATTGTTGTAAATATTTGCCCATTGTTTAATTGAGTTATTTTTGTTGTAATAGTTGTAAATATTTTTTCAATTTCAATTATTAACCATTCTTTGACTGTGTAATAATATTTTTCTTGAAGAAAATGCCTCCATTTTAGTTTCTATTTGAATTTGTTAACCTTGTTATGCCTTATGGTTTTTGAGTCTTAGCAAATATTCCTGCTTTCTAAAATAGTTAAAAATTCTCACATTTGTTTTCCTATATTTTTTCCATTTTTATTGTAGTAAAAACACATAAAATAACATTTGCTATTTTGAACCTTTAGTAAGTGTACAGTGGTATTAAGTACATTCATATTTTCATGCCAACATCATCACCATTCCTCTCCAGAGTCCTTTCAACTTGCAAGACTAAAACTCTGTACCAATTAAATAACAACTGCCCATTTTCAACTCCCACCATCCTCTGGAAACCACCATTCTGTTTTATTTCTCTGCGATTAAACTGTAAGTACCTTATTTTGTGATTCATTTATTTTACTTAGTGTAATGTTCTCCGTGCTCATATATGTTGTAATGTGTCAGAATTACTTTTCTTTTTAAGGATAAATCATATTCAATTCTATATATGTACCACATTTTGCTTATCCATTCATTTTTCAATGGGAACTTGGGCTGCATCCATGTCCTAGCTCTTGTGATTAACGCTGCCATGAACATGAGTGTACAAATATCCTCTGAACTCCTGCTTTCACATCTTATAACTACATACCTAAAAGTGGAATTCCATAACTTTCTGTACCATTTTACCTCCTCACCAATAGTTCAGAAGGCT
The DNA here is from genome assembly GCF_000001405.40 of Homo sapiens. NCBI lineage: Eukaryota > Metazoa > Chordata > Mammalia > Primates > Hominidae > Homo > Homo sapiens. The sequence goes on from NC_000011.10 coordinate 98,512,284, forward strand.
TCCAATTTCTCCACAGTCTTTTCAACACCTATTTTATGTTTTTTTTCCTCTTGATAGCAGTCATTCTTATTGGTGTAAGGTGATTCCTGATTGTACTTTTGATTTGCCTTTCCCTAATGATTAATGATTTTGAATATCTTTTAATGTGCTTATTGGATATTTGTATTTATTTTTTGGAGAAATGTTTATTCAAATCCTTTGTCTGTTTTTAAACCAGATTGTTTGTTTTACTGAGTTTTGAGTCCTCTATGTATTTTGATATTAACCCATTATCAGATATATGATTTGCAAAACTAGTTTTCCCATTTTGTAGGGTGCCTTTTTACTCTGTTGATACTGTTTTAATATACAATTTAAAAAATGTTTATAAAGACCAAATTATCCATCTTTTCTTTTGTTGCCTGTGCTGTTGATGTCATATTTTCTAATACATTTTTATTTTCTTTTTATTCAATACTGGTGTTTTTGAGTCTACTGGAATTTTTTCTAGTGTTCTTTCCGAGACATTAAGGTTATTAACCATCCCCAAATTTAGGAAACCCCCTTTTCCTTACACTTGCATTTTAATTTACATGCCATTTAACCCCTGCAATTGTGTGTTCTGCTTTCCTCCTTCTAGATTGTAAGTTTCTGGAACAATAGAAACTTATTCCCTAAAATCTATTTTATGTATTTATTTTAAAATGCCTAATATATATAAATGTCTTGATAAGTATTTATTAAGCAAATAAAACTTGTATATTTATTTATAGAAATAGAAAGTAAATCTTTGCTTAACATAAGTATTACTCATCAATTCTCAGACATGAAGTAACACAAAACATTGTTTTGTAAGATCTAAGATAAAAATGCTGATGAAATAATTGCCTAATCATATTTTATTATTTAGGATTCATTATCTACTTATATGTTTATATACAGTTGTATCATTTCTATGCAAATATGAAAAAGTAAAATATAAACAAAATCAGTTGTTTAAGGCAGGGTCCAGCAAACATTTTCTGTAATGAGTCATAGTAAATATACTTTGCTGTGCAACCATAATGTCTCCATCACAACTCCTCAAAACTGCCATTGTAAAACAAAAACAGCCATAGACAATATGTAAACCAATATATATGGCTGTGTTCAAGTAAACATCTATTTATTAAAACAAGTGGGAGGTGGATTTAGATCATGGACCATACTTAGCAAACCCTTAAGTTAAAAAATTTTTTTCAAAAATTACTTTCACATTCAAAATCTTCAGAATTATTATTTGGCTCAAAGCCATCAATGTCTGTATTTTCCATATAATATCTTTTGGCCCATCAAAATATTTTTGATGCAGCAGTGTTGCAAAAAAATGATCCATATAGTCTACAGCAACACTGTGCAATAGAAATACAATGTGAGCTATGTGTGTAATTTTAAGTTTTCTTATTACTACATATAAAATTGTAAAACCGATGAGATTTATTTTTATAATATATTTTACTTAAGCAAATTTATTCAATATTTTATCATTTCAACGTGTAATATATATTAAAAAATTGTACTGAAATATTTATATTATTTTTACATACTATTATATACTGTATTTTGAAATTCTGTATTTTTAACTTACAACCTGTCTTAATTTATACTACCCACATTTTAAGTGCTCAGTACTCACTACTACACAGTATAAGTCTAAAAGATATTCTTCCAAGATCCTGATAAATCTTCTGCAAACTTTTGACGTTGTAGTTTTCTTTTCAAAGTATCCTATTGGAGGTTTTCAGAAACAAACAGTACTCCTATTTAAACTCATCATTCTTAAGTGCTTTGATTACTGAATTTTTGAGAGTACAATTGTCTGGTTTGGATATGCTATCAGGAATAAAAATTGTGATACTACAGCCATTTGGCTGACAGCTATTGTAAAATGTCATTTATTAAAGAGATCTAATTTTTTTAATTCCACTTCTTAAAATTGATGTAATACTGTAATTAATTTACTCCCCCAAAGTAAATAACTGTTATTTTAAATATCTCCTTTTAATTTTCTCTCAATATATATAACCTGTGCAAAAATTGTGTGTGCGCACGCACATACATGTGCACGCATGTATGTGTTTGCATATACGGATAAGAGAGAAAGAAGCAGAATAATAAAATTACTTTATGGTGTAGATAGCTAGGATTAATAATTTGAAAAAAAGCACTAGTTTGCTCTTTCAAAAAGTGTTATTGTGATGCAATTATTTCCTTTTAATCACCGTTAACTATCACCAGTTATCTTTCTCTTCTGAATATCACTCTCCCATCCTAAAGATACCTAAAACTATAATTTTTGGATTATAGATAATCAGCAAAGATTATTTCCTGACACATAGGAATGATTGGATAAGTTAATTGCATGAAGTACAACTTCATCCATAGAAAATCCTCTCACAAAACTTAAATTAAATGACCTAATTTAGAATTGAAGGGAGTTTCTGGAATGACAGCTTATGTATCAGCCAGAGGTATGTAGCAATCTTTTGCCAAACAGAAAACCCGAGTGTATGTTAATCAAATTGTAAGTTTATTCTCCTACTGAGATTCATGAGTTTGAAGGCTGATATATGCTGGAAGCCTCGGTAACCAGGCAGGCTTGAACGAGCATCAAGATTTCAGCTGTTGAATTTTTGTTGGTGCTGTATTTATTATAAGGTCTAAAGGAGGAGGAGAGATGTTAATAAATATTTCTTTTGGTTCTGTCTGCTCAAGTAGGCCACTGGGCTTATCAAAGCATTTTTTTTTCTGTTTTATATTTGGACTCTTCTCCTTGTTATCCAAAGCTTTTATTTTTGCTTGTGATTTGGTAAAATCCATGTAGTGCATACTTAAGATCCAACAACAAATTGTTTGAGAAGAAAAAACAGCTAATGTATGTGTGAATGGAACAAGTTTTGAATGATGTTTAAATAATATCTGGTGTAGTGAGGGGTGTGTGTGTTTGTGTGTGTATTCAACTGTATTCAAAAAGTGTGTGTATCCAGATGTTAGGTCTTGTACTGTGATTGTGATATGCTTCTGCATTTTTTTCCCCCCTGTGGTCACTTACGTAAAGATGTGATTAACTAGGTGACTCTTTACTGAGAAAGAAGCATTTACAAATGAGGGGGTGGATGTACCCTGTAAAAATTATTATAAAACAGGAAGTATGATTGGGTTTGGTCCAGCACCTTCAACCCATTGAGGGTGTTGTACCAAACTCAAATTTTCACAAAAGTTGTGGCTTCCGTCATGCCAGGAGTGGAAAGTGTGTCTTCACTTGGGCCCAGTGTCTTTAAGTATTTGGCAGTTGACACACTCAGACAACTCCTATCAATGGCTGCCACAAAAATCCAGATTTCCTGATGCCAGAGTTTAAGTTTATTGCACTGAAGAGGTTGATTCTAAATTTACCTCATGAGAAGGGAGACCAGCAGGAGAGTGGGTAAATACCAGTTCACTTGAATACAAACCCACTCACTAAATTTATCTAGCAAATGCACCAGGCCTTCACATGCTCATAAAGTAATGCAAGAATAAGAGATTTAAATTTTTTCTTCTCTTACTTCTCTCTGACATGTTTTAATGTAATTTTTTCTCCTTTTTACATTAAAACCTCTCCCTAACTAGTGTGACATTTTAGAATTACCTCCGAGTTCCAATGCACAACAGATGACAACCCAGAAGAGAGCAACATGGGTCAGTTGTTGCACTAAGAAGTGACCTTGCATGCTACATTTCCGTAGTAAAACACGTTTGAAGAAAATAGGAATATTAAACATCTTAAAAACCAGAGAGTATTAAAGATATTGATATTTTTGTTTGGCATCTTTGATTCCTCAGGTGCCTTTAAAAAATAATAAAAAGAGTGAAACACATGCTTCATGTGCCTGTCGTCGATTAAATTAACAAAAACGAAATGCTAAACAAACACTAAACTAAAATGCTGATTGGTTTGACCTTACTGTGATTCCGTTTATATAAATTAGAAATTGTGAATTGTAAAAATTATGCTGGCCATCTGGAATACTTTGTACTCAAACCTTATGTTATCTGTCTATGCCCTGCACTTGGATAAAGGAGTAAGAAAAAAGGGAAGTCATTAATTAAAACCCTTTAGGTTATGCTCAATTTATTTTTGTTAGAAGTCAGTATGATAGACATAAAGGGTAGACATGTTTACATACACTTCTCAATGTAACTAAATATGGTGAAATACAATACTGAGACTCTTAGAAGTATACTATATGTTTTTTCTTAGTCTTTACCTTCATCTTATTAAGAAATAATATAGTCATGATTGTATGCAAGTATGTAGGTAACCGATAACAGCGACAACAAAAATTCTATCTTATTCTCTTCTAAAATATTTCTTTTGTTTCTCAGAGGGTTTTTTTCCAACTTTTATTTTAGGTTCAGAGAGTACATGTACAGATCTGTTACAGAGGTACATTTTGTGTCACTAGGGGTTTGGCTTACAAATTATTTTGTCACCCGGGTAGTGAGCATAGTAACGAATGGGTAATATTTTGATCTTCACCCTCCTACCACCCTCCGCCTTCAAGTAGACCCTGTTGTCTGTTGTTGCCTTCCTTGTATCCCTGTGTACGTGATGTTTACCTCGCACTCGTAAGTGAGAACATTTGGTATCTGGTTTTCTATTCCCGTGTTAATTTGCTTAGGATATGAATCACATCCAGCTGCATCCCTGTTGCTGCAAAGGACATGATTTTATTATTTGCTATGGCTGCAGAGTATTCCACTGCATATATGTACAACATTTTCTTTATACACTCCACATTAATGCGCACGTACGTTGATTCCATGTCTTTGCTATTGTGAACAGTGCTGTGATGAATATACAAGTACATATGTCTTTATGGTAGAACAATTTATATTCCTTTGGATATGTATTCAATAATGGGATTGTTGGGTGAAATGGTAGTTCTGTTTTAAATAAGTTCTTTGAGAAATCACCAAACTGCTTTCCACAGTGGCTGAACTAATCTACATTTTCACCAGTGGTGTATAATCATTCCCTTTCTCTGAAACCACTATCTGTTATTTCTACATTTTTTCTTTTTTTTTTTTTTTTGAGATGAAGTTTCATTCTTGTTGCCCAGGCTGGAGCACAGTGGCGCTATCTTGGCTCTCTGCAACCTCTGCCTCCCGGGTTCAAGCAATTCTGCTGCCTGAGCCTCCCAAGTAGCTGGGATTACAGGCGCCCACCACCACACCAGGCTAATTTTTGTGTATTTAGTAGCGACGGGGTTTCACCATGTTGACCAGGCTGATCTTGAACTGATCAGCCTCAGGTGATCCACCCACCTCGGCCTCCCAAAGTGCTGGGATAACAGGCGTGAGCCACCGTGCCCGGCCTTCTTTATTTTTTAGTATAGCCATTCTGACTGGTGTGAGATGGTATCTCATTGTGGTTTTGGTGTGCATTTCTATATTAATTAGTAATGTTGAGCATTTTTTCATGTGTGTGCTGGCTGTATGTATGCCTTCTTTTGAGAAGTGTCTGCTGATGTCCTTTACCCATTTACTAATGGTTTTTTCCCTTGTTATTACATTCTGTATAAATTGTACATATTAGAAGTTTGTTGGATGCATAGTTTGCAAATACTTTCTCCCATTCTATAGATTGTCTGCTTACTGTGTTGTTAGTTTCTTTTGCTCTGCAGAAGCTCTTTAGTTTAATTAAGTCCCATGTGTTAAGTTTTTTGTTGCAATTGTTTCTGGAGACTTTGTCATGAAACATTTGCCAGGGCCTATGTACAGAATGGTATTTCCTAGGTTTTCATCTAGGGTTTTTGTAGTTTTAGGTTTATATTTAAGTCTTTAATACATCTTCAATTGATTTTTGTACATGGTGAAAGGAAGGAGTCCAGTTTCAATCTTCTGCACATAGCTAGTGAGATATCCCAGAGCCACTGATTGAACAGGGAGTCCTTTCCCCATTGCTTGTTATTGTCACCTTTGTGGAAGATCAGATGGTTGTAGGCATGCAGCATTTTTCTGGGTTTTCTAACATGTTCCTTTGGTCTATGTGTCTGTTTTCGTACCAGGACCATGTGCTATTTGGTTACTGTAGCCTTGTAGAACACTTTGAAGTCAGGTAGTGTGATGCTTCTGGCTTTGTTGTTTTGGCTTAGGATTTCTTTGTCTTTTCAGGCTCTTTTTTTGGCTCCATATGAATTTTAAATTTTTTTTCTAATTTTATGAAAACGTCATTGATAATTTGATAGGAATCTCATTAATTCCATAAACTGTTTTGGGCAGTATTCTCATTTTAGCAGTATTTTTTCTTCCTGTCCATGAGCATGGCATGTGTTTCTATTTTTTTGTGTTGCCTCTGAGTTTTTCAGGAGTGTTTTATAATTCTCATTGTAGAGATCTTTGACCTTCCTGGTGGAGGTATTTGGCTGTATTTCTAGGTATTTTATTTTATTTTATTTTTTCTGGCTATGAATGGGATTGCATTCTTGATTTGGCTCTCAGTTTGGATGTTATTGGTGTATAAAAATGCTACTGATTTTTGTACATTGATTTTGTTTCGTAAAATTTTGCTGAAGTTGTTTATCAGATATAGGAGATTTTGGGCAAAGACTATGCAGTATTCTAGGCACAGAATCATATTATCTGTGAAGAGAGAGAGTTTCATTTCCTCTCTTCCTATTTCAATGTCTTTTATTTCTTTCTCCTGCCTGATTGCTCTGGCTATGATTTGCAGAACTATGTTGTACACAATTGGTGAGAGTGGGCATCCTTTTCTTGTTCTGGTTCTCAAGGGTAGTACTTCCAGCTTTTGCTCATCCAGTATGATGTTGGATGTGGGTTTGTTATAGATGGCTTTTATTATTTTGAGTTACGTTCCTTAGATGCCTAGTTACTTGAGGGTTTTCAAGAGGAATGTGTGTTGAATTTTACTGAAAGCTTTTTATATGTCTATTGAAACAATCATGTCATTTTTGTTTTCGGTTGTGTTTATGTGATGAAGAAATTTATTCATTTGCATATGCTGAACCAGCTTTGTATCCCAGGAATAAAGAGTATTCAGTCGTGGTGTATTAGTTTTTTTTTTGTTTTGTTTTGTTTTGTTTTTTGAGACAGAGTTTTGCTCTTGTTGCCCAGGCTGGAGTGCAATGGCGCGATCTCAGCTCACCACAACCCCTGCCTCTCAGGTTCAAGCAATTCTCCTGCCTCAGCCTTCCGAGTAGCTGGGATTACAGGCATGCACCACCAAGCCTGGCTAATTTTGTATTTTTAGTAGAGACGGGTTTTCTCCATGTTGGTCAGGCCGATCTTGAACTCCCGACCTCAGGTGATCCACCCAACATTTTCTTTATTCACTCCACCATTAATGAGCACGTAGGTTGATTCCATGTCTTTGCTATTGTGAACAGTGCTGTGATGAATATACAAGTACTCACTGCTAAAAATGTATGTGAGGTAATAAATAGATTGATTTAGCTATTCCAAAATGTATACATATATCAAAACAGCATGTTACACTCTATTAATATATAAAAATATCACTTGTCAAGTAAATATATGATAAAATAAGTGAATTAATACAAAATTAAACCTGGCCTAATGTAGAGGAGTTTATTTAGTGATAATTGTATTCTTTCAGTGGTAACTATCATTGCATTTGCAAATTAAAATATTTAAGCTGGGATTTAACTCCTTGCTTGAACTTAAGTTCCACAAATGAAAGAGAAATTCTACTGAATCAAGAAAAACATCGAAAAGCACTAAGAGTCTACCACTTCCCAAAGTAAATCTACATACGGTAGCACTTGTGTTAATATTTATTTTCACATGCTTCTTTGTCCTTGGCTCCGTATTCTTATCTAGATATAAATTCTGATCCTTCCAGGAATTTTTCTTCTATTTAAGTTTTCTCTTTACATTGAGTTCTCAAACTTCCGTGCAGCTTCTCATTTAGTCAATGCTTTGGTCATTTTACCTTCAGTTTCTTTAGGCAAGAACTCTTGGAATCATACCTAAATCTTACCCTAATAGAACTCTAATTCTGTTTTTTCTTCTGCAAAACCAAAAAAGCTCTAGTCCCACCTGAAGCTTTCATTAGGCGTTGGGAGAGAAGTTTTGATTTTTAAGATTTCCAAGATGCATTGAAGGAAACGTAAAACACTACTTGGAAAATACATAATTCCTCCAACTCCTGAATAAATTAAATTGAGCATTAGAGAGAGTGAGAATGTTTATTATGTGCAAATATGACTAAAAGTTTTATTTTATAAACAGACCTCCTATGATTATAATGCAAAATATGTCTTCATGTAAGTCTACTTATTGGAAAACATTCTTTTTTAATTCAATATTTTCATATAAGCTGTCTATTAAACAAGAGAACTTCTGTCATGCCAGGGAGCTCTTTTTCTCTGGACTCCTATTTGCCATGTTTTCATGACTCTCATTCATAATAACTAACTAAAGAAATTAAGACTTTTAAGTTTTTATTCCATTTTATTACCTAAATCATTCTGAATTTTAACAAGAGATTTTAGTACCTTATATTTAAAACATAGAATGTTAGGTTATTATTATGCTTAATAAAATATAAGAGCAATTCTATTTCCCAAACCAGTTTTAACCTTTACATTGTTCATTCAGGCTAGCTATACAGTTGGACACAAACTTTTCAACTGCAAATACATGATTGTTAAACTAAGCTTATACAATTCAATGTTGTGGTCTATGATTGGAGGATTCACTTCCTTTTGTCCTTGACATTTGTACCTTAACAATCTCTGATTTTAAAATATGACCTTATTCACTTTCATATTTTCCTGATTCTACTGTATTGCGATGGGTATTGAATTACAAAGAGGAGAAAGCATGGAAGGGACCTAAACGAATCTACAACACATTTCTTTCATGCAACCATGACTAGGCCTTAGGGAAGTACCATTACTTTTAAATTAATCTCTAGTTAGTTTGCTAAAACAGTCTTTAGAGTAACTGGGACATAACATCCATATTGTCCTAACTCTACTACTTTAAATCTCCATAGATTCCCTCATTGCAAAGTTTATGGAGAGGATAGAAGCCATCTAAAACAAATTTCTACAATGTCTAACTTACCATATTATTTTATTCACTCTCTCTTCTTTCTCTTTTCTAGCCTTATTCTCCAAACTTTTAAAAAACTATTTTGCATTCACTGTCTACACTTACAAATCACCTAAGTCACAAAATATATAGTAGTCAAGCTTTTGCTTTCATCATTTTTGAAATTTCTTTGTGGAAATTCCTGAATCTGATTTTTATTTCTTTTTCCAAGTCATTTTCTATTAACATTGCCAGATTGATTTTCTGAAAATATGCAACAGAGTATATCACTACTTATCTTAAAAGCTTCAAAGTCTTGGACTTTGTTTCTGGCACAATCAGAAATCAAATATTGTAAAATGTACTGGATAGAAAAAACATTAAAATGTTGGAACAAATATTGTAACAATTTCTTTAATTCTGTGGATGAACTGACAAGAGGGAAACTCTTTTGAAACTGAAAGACTTAATAGAAACACAAGACAGCAGACATTAGACTCAATAATACTTCACCAATAGCCTGGAACTTCAGTTTTAATGGCCTCAAGACCTAAGGCGTTTTAGAGATAAAGCCTTGCATCTACACAGTGCAATACATCTGATTTAGACCAAAAAGGTCAGTTCCTTGACTATTTTCATACTCAGAGAAAAGAGAAACAAAGAAACAAAGAAAAATAAAATATGTTTGTTTTAGATGGGACTGGGTGGGTAGGGAAAATTATGAAAGGTTATTTTAGGAATTTGAATAATAAGATGTGTCTCACATTAGTTTGGGGATGCAATTCACTCGATTTTCATGTTCTGAGAAAGTAAAACTAGCCAAAAGTCTATAATTTTATGCAAATTAGACCTGTTTTGGTGGTGCCTTCAAACACGGCAACTGAAATAGACATAAACTCCAATCGTAGAAAAACAAAGAAAAAACTAAAACAACAACAACAACGAAAATTCAATTGAGCCTCAAAAATTTGTCAGATAAACTTAGGACAAACTAGACTCCACAATAAATTAATAATGCAAAAAGAGAAAGCAAAATATGCATGGATCATAACAAGAGCAGGCACAATTTAAAAAACTGGAATGAGATCCATAAAAAAATTAAAATTTTGAAGTATTATACCAGATCTAGTGCAAATGTTTCTGACCAAGAAAAAAAAAAGTAGAAGGAATCAAAATCACAAGTAAGGAGAAAAGCCTGCCAAAAGGTCAGATATATATATATATATATATATATATATATATATATATATATATGAAAATTTAAAAAAGGGAACCTGCAAAACATTTATTTATTGTTTTATCTTTGTTTTTTTAATATATATATTTTTTATTATACTTTAAATTCTAGGGTACATGTGCACAACGTGCAGGTTTGTTACATATGTATACATGTGCCATGTTGGTGTGCTGCACCCATTAACTCGTCATTTACATTAGGCATATCTCCTGATGCTATCCCTCCCCCCTCCCCCCACCCCACAACAGGTCCCACTGTGTGATGTTCCCCTTCCTGCGTCCAAGTGTTCTCATTGTTCAATTCCCACCTATGAGTGAGAACATGCGGTGTTTGGTATTTTGTCCTTGCGATAGTTTGCTGAGAATGATGGTTTCCAGCTTCATCCATGTCCCTACAAAGGACATGAACTCATCATTTTTTATGGCTGCACAGTATTCCATGGTGAATATGTGCCACATTTTCTTAATCCAGTCTATCATTGTTGGACATTTGGGTTAGTTCCAAGTCTTTGCTATTGTGAATAGTGCCGCAATAAACATACATGTGCATGTGTCTTTATAGCAGCATGATTTATAATCCTTTGGGTATATACCCAGTAATGGGATGGCTGGGTCAGATGGTATTTCTAGTTCCAAATCCTTGAGGAATCGCCACACTGTCTTCCACAATGGTTGAACTAGTTTACAGTCCCACCAACAGTGTAAAAGTGTTCCTATTTCTCCACATCCTCTCCAGTACCTGTTGTTACCTAACTTTTTAATGATTGCCATTCTAACTGGTGTGAGATGGTATCTCATTGTGGTTTTGATTTGCATTTCTCTGATGGCCAGTGATGATGAGCATTTTTTCATGTGTCTTTTGGCTGCATAAATGTCTTCTTTTGAGAAGCATCTGTTCATATCCTTTGCCCACTTCTTGATGTCGTTGTTTGTTTTTTTCTTGTAAATTTGTTTGAGTTCTTTGTAGATTCTGGATATTAGCTCTTTGTCAGATAAGTAGATTGCAAAAATTTTCTCCCATTCTGTAGGTTGCCTGTTCGCTCTGACAGTAGTTTCTTTGCTGTGCAGAAGCTCTTTAGTTTAATTAGATCCCCCAATTTTGGCTTTTGTTGCCACTGCTTTTGGTGTTGTAGACATGAAGTCCTTGCCCATGCCTATGTCCTGAATGATATTGCCTAGGTTTTCTTCTAGGGTTTTTATGGTTTTATGTCTAACATTTAAGTCTTTAATCCATCTTGAATTAATTTTTGTAAAAGGTGTAAGGAAGGGATCCAGTTTCGGCTTTCTACCTATGGCTAGCAAGTTCTCCCAGCACCATTTGTTAAATAGGGAATCCTTTCCCCAAGTCTTGTTTTTGTCAGGTTTGTCAAAGATCAGATGGTTATAGATGTGTGATATTATTTCTGAGGGCTCTGTTTTGTTCCATTGGTCTATATCTCTGTTTTGGTACCGGTACCATGCTGTTTTGGTTACTGTAGCCTTATAGTATAGTTTGAAGTCAGGTAGCGTGATGCCTCCAGCTTTGTTCTTTTGGCTTAGGATTGACTTGGCGATGTGGGCTCTTTTTTGTGAACTTGCGAAACATTTAAGGAGAGAAAATCAAAATTATAATTAATGTCTAATACTTATTAAATGGAAGGTGATATACAGCTGAATAGAAAAGGGGTTAACTGAATGTTGTTTCTGAAGAAATTATGCAGAATTCAGTACAATGTGACAAAGACATAAAATATGAAGGTGAAGTTAAGAGACATGGATCATAGAGTGAGAAGGTAAAATAAATGTTATGGAGTTTCATTTCAAAAAAGGTAAATTAAGGACATGGTTTTTTGATGTTTTATTTGTTTTGAACAAAAAAAGCATATATACATATATAGGCTCAGGGAGCAAAATCATTCTGATCAGGAAATATAATAAGAAATCTATACCTAGGTTATCATTAGACAACTCAGAATATCAAAAACAAAGAGAATATTTTAATAGGAGCCAGAGGGAAAAAATTTACCTATAAAGCAATAACAGCAAATAGGTAGATGATCTCTCAATGCACTATTTTAAAATTATGAGAGAAATACACTGTTAAATTAAATGGCAATCCAACAAAGTAGCTTTCAATTTTTAGGATGAAGTAGTGCAATTATCAAAAAACTAAAACAGAAAAAGTTTAACATGCAGAAATCCATTTAAGTCACTTGAAAGCATATACTTCCATCAAGCAGAAACGTTTCTCCAGAAAGAAAGACTTAGAGGTAAGACAAAGAGCTGCACGAGAGTGGTAAACGTGTGGACAAATCTAAACAAATATTGGCCTTATGAAACAATAATTATAACTGTCAGCACATTACTGTTATATATAACTTATCTATTATTGCTTAACTAATCACTGTAAAATGAGATGATTGAAACAAATTTTGACATACAAATAGTAACAAAAACGCAGTCTTAATTTTATAATTTAATAGCATTAGCAGGCTGAATTAAATGTTAAAATTTCAATTATGTTTTGTTTAGAACATACATATTTAAACATAAAGACACAGAAAGTAGATATAAGCTGGAGAATAAAATTATAGCAGTTAATTTCTAAGCAAATTAATAAAAACAGTTGGCACCAATGCACTTTGGGAGGCTGAGGCGGGTGGATCACAAGGTCAGGACATCGAGACCATCTGGGCTAACACAGTGAAACCCTGTCTCTACTTAAAAATAAATAAATTTTAAAAATACAAAAAATTAGCCAGGCATGGTGGCAGGCACCTGTAGTCCCAGCTACTTGGGAGGCTGAGGCAGGAGAATGGCGAATGGCGTGAACCCGGGAAGCGGAGCTTGCAGTGAGCCGAGACCGTGCCACTGCACTCCAGCCTGGGCAATAGAGCGAGACTCTGTCTCAAAAAAAAGGAAAAAGGACACTGAATTAAAGGTGGTCATTGCCCCCTTCACCAGGAGTAGATGTTAATTCTAAATGTAGTTGAAACAGGATAGTTCCCTTGACCCCTACGTGGTACTCGTGATGGGGTTGGCTCATTTACTTAGCCCACAGCTTTCAAATCCTTGCAGGAGCGGGAGCATGCCGGTGAGTGGGTGCAGAGGCCAGGACAAGCACTTCTGCGCAACCATCAGGAGCAGAACTTTGTTCAGGCCCATGGCAGCATCTGGGAGTTGCCCACCACCCTTGGAGCCCCAGAGGGCATGTGTTTCAGTGCACTCTTTTAGCTTTGACATCCATGGACAGCTTAAGGGTTCAACAGCTCAGTGGAGGGTCAGTGTGACAGCCTCTTGCACCCGCACCCAGGTCCTCATCTAGCATCTGGGAGGAATGAGGTTGCACGAACAAACTGAAGGGTGGTGAATGCAGACTATTTTATTGAGTGGTGGAAGTGGCTCTCAGCAGTATCGTGAGCTGGAAAGGGGATGGAGTGTGAAGGTGGTCTTCCCTGGAGTTTGGCCATGCCTGGCTGAACTCTTCTCTGACCATCGTCACTGATGTGTCCAGCTGCTTAATCTCACTGTTCAGATGCTTCTTTTCTTCTCTCCTTCTCTGCCGCACCAACCCACTGACAGTGGAGCTTGGGGTTTTCATGGTTTCAGGATGGGGTTGGATGAGACAGGGGAGTGTTGGAAAAGGCAACATTCAGGTGGGAAAACAGGAATACATGTTCCCCCTTTGGGCCGCGTGTCCAGGCTTGAGAGCGGGGCTTCACCAGAGACCCTGCCCTCTTCTACACAGTATTTCCCTGCCTACTGTCCATATCATAGTGACACACATTTTAATAATAAACAAAATTGATATGAATACAGGTCAAAATTCAGGAGCACATAATATAATTAAGAGTGTTCCTATTCCTCTCTTAGATAAGTCAGGTATAAAATCAGTAGAGACATAGAAGCTTTGAAAAGCACAATTAACAAAAGTCACCCAAGACAGTGCTACTTAAAGTAGCCAGGCTACCAACTATTTGTAATATGAGGTGAGAAATGAAACACATCAGAACCAATCAATGTATTGTTCTTGATATAAAAAAGAAAAAATGTTTTGTGAACTGTACTTACTTTGTCACATATGGACAAATTTTTAGTCTGGTACTTTTTGGCTGACCACAGGTTGATCATCACTTTTCTGAGAGATATGCATATATCGTTCTATATCCAAGAATTAATCAATATATATATCATTTTTAGCTTTACACTTGCCAAAATTGATCATCCAAAATGTAATAATATAACAAATTTTAAGCGACTGATATCACACTGACCAATTTCTCATGCTATAATGCAATTTAGGATCCCATAAGACAGAGATAACAAAACATAACTCATATATTTAAAAGTTGAAAAATATATTTATAATGATATGTTAGCAAAAAGAAATAAGAATTTAGAAAAGACTGAAAATAATCCTGAAAATATCATATGTGAAAACTTAAAGGCTACTTACAGAAAACTTTTTCACTTCATTTGGTTAATAATAAAAATATTTTACATGAAAACTTGTAAGATATTTAAATTTTTTATTTTGATTATTATTAATTTTTTTGAGATGGAGTCTCACTCTGTTGCCCAGGCTGGAGAGCAGTAGTGTGATCTCGGCTCACTGCAACCTCCGTCTCCTGGGCTCAAGCGATTCTTCTGCCTCAGCCTCCCTGCTAGCTGGGATTACAGGCACCTACCACTGCGTCTGGCTAATTTTTGCGGTTTGTTTTTGTTTTTTTTTTTGAGATGGAATGTCACTCTGTTGCCCAGGCTGGAGGGCAATGGTGCGATCCCGGCTCACTGCAAACTCCACCTCCCGGGTTTACCCCATTCTCCTGCCTCAGCCTCCCAAGAAGCTGGGACTACAGGCGTCTGCCACCATGTCTGGCTAATTGTATTGTGTTTTTAGTAGAGATGGGATTTCACCCTGTTAGCCAGGATGGTCTTGGTCTCCTGACCTGGTGATCCACTCCCCTTGGCCTCCCAAAGTGCTGGGATTACAGGTGTGAGGCACCTCGCCCAGCTGACTCCTAACTTTAAATTGTATACAGTAGTAACTAATAAAGGCTGAAAGCCATTAAGCTAAATGTCCGTAAGAAGAAATTATCCAAAACAATTAAAACTAAAAAAGTATGAGAAATGAAGTAATATACAAGCATATATTACTGACCTCATAAATAATACCATTCCCCAAAATAAATATCAAACTATAGAGGGCTTGTTAAAAAACTCTTAATATTGGAAAACTTGTGCAATGATGAGAAAAAGAAGGAAGATGACATAGATTAAACATGTTATGACTAAACAAAGATGAATAGATTATATCAGATTTTAAAAAATAAGAAGCTACTATGAATCATTTTAAACTTTTGTATTTGAAGGTGACAAAGTGGAAAACTTTTAGAATAATAAATAGTATCAAAAGTAATTAAAAGAGATTAAAGGAATTAAAATAATATTATACCCAGTATGATATGCAACCAATAATCAAATATATTTCTACAAAAAAACACGAAAAATGTATAACAATGTACTATGCATTCAATGGAATTCTGCTGAGAACACATGACTAATTCAATATTTAAATTTATGTATATTCACCATATTATTAAAATAGAGAGGAAAAAACATGATCAACTCCATAGATTCAGAATGATCATTTGATAAATTTAAGCCACTAATTGTAGACATAATTCTAAATTTAGGACTAGAAGGGGACTCTCTTAAATTTTATTAAAGGAGAGTTATCAAAAGTTGCAAGGAGTGTATGTTTTCATGGTGAAACATTTAAAACTTTACTTAAAACTCAGGAAATATACAATATTGTGATGTGCACTGGACTTTTTAATTAAATATTAGCAGAGTTAAAATTAATATGGATTTGCAAGGCAAAAAAGAATATTTTTTGATCATAGGCCTCTATGATTATGCCTATATGATTATATGCCAGATGATTATTTTTAAATAAAAAGAGCTATATTATTATATTAATCAATAAGATATTTTATACAATTGAAAGTTATAAATTCCACATTTCAAAGGTCATTTCTATCATTGAAACAAATACTTTTGAAAAGTAATTTTTTAAAATATATGTAATATAATAGTAATGGAATGTAAATTATAATGAAGATGTATTGCCTATGATTATATGCCTTTATGATTTTTTAATAAAAATATGAACTATATTATTATTGTAATCAATAAGATGTTTTATACAAGTGAAAGTTATGATTTCCAGATCATATGCCTATATGATTATGTTTTCAATAAAAATAAGAGCTATATTATAATTTTAATCGGTAAGATATTTTATACAGTTAAAAGTTATGAATTCCGTACTTCAAGAGTCATTTCTCTCCTTGAAACAAATACTTTTGAAAAGTAATTTTTAAAAATATATGTAATGTAATTGTAATAGAATGTAAATTATAATGAAGATGTATAGGAGAAATTCTAAATTTATATTTAAAACTGTGAATGAGAACCTTAAGGTTGGTGAAAAATTATACTGTTTTCATGAAAACTCAAAATTATGAAGATGTCACTCTTTTGTGAACCACTCAGTCTTCACTGGGGTCTTGCATATACAATCATGCATTGCTTAACAGTGGGGACACATTTTGAGAAATACATCATTAGGCAATTTCATCTTTGTGTGAACATCATAGAGTGTACTTACACAAAACTAGGTGGCATAGCCCACTACCCACCTAAGCTATGTGGTGTAGCCTATTGTTCCTAGGCTACAGACTTGTATAGCACAGGACTGTACTGAATGCTGTAGGCCATTGTAACATATTGGAAAGTATTTATGTATGTAAACATATCAAAACATAGAAAAAGTACAGTAAAAATAAGGTAATATCATCTTATGGGACTACTATCATATATGTAGTCCATTATTGACCAAAATATTGTGTGGTACATGATTGTATTTTCAATAGTTTATTAGAAATGCATCTGAGAGTAAAGAGTATCTGAGACATTCCTGGAAAAGCACAAACTAGTGGGGAGAACTGCCCTAACTCATATCAATTATATTAATGGAGACCCTGTGGAATTGATAAATTGTCCAATGAAATTTGTAGGGCTAATAAACAGACCCACTCGTACATGAAAACTTGATCAATAACAGAATTAACGATGCATACCTAGGGGGAAATTATGGACTATTCAACACATTGTGAACAAATTGTTTGTAATACATATCAAGGTGAGATGGAATGAGAAATGGAATCCTTGCTTTACACAAAATTTCAATTCTTGGAAGAATGAAAATATATATGTGGAAGACACAACTTCAAAGGTTTTAAAATAATATTAGAAACTATGTTTATCAATTTGGTATAGAGAGGTTCTTAAGAACATTACAAAAACTGAAAATTATTAAAAATAGAGATGAACAACACTGACAGTAATGATAGTTGCTCTTTAAAGTCTACCATGGAAAAAGTAGAAAACACAAACTGGAAAATGGTTTGCCATTACTAACTGACAAGTTATTAGTATCCAGACTATATTTAAAAAGAACTACAAATTAATAAGAGAAATGACAAATCAATAGTAAAATGGGCAAAATATGTTATTGCATATTACAGAGAAAAGAAATAGAAAACTGCCAAGACACATATGAGAAATTCTCCGTCTTTTTTTTTTTTTTTTTTTTTTTTTGAGATGGAGTCTCACTCTGTCCCCCAGGCTGGAGTGCAGTGGCATGATCTCGGCTCACTGCAAGCTCCACCTCCTGGGGTCATGCCATTCTCCTGCCTCAGCCTCGTGAGTAGCTGGGATTACAGGCGCCCACCACCACGCCTGGCTAATTTTTTGTATTTTTAGTAGAGACTGGGTTTCACCATGTTAGCCAGGATGGTCTTGATCTTCTGACCTTGTGATCTGCCCTCCTCGGCCTCCCAAGAGAAATTCTCAGTCCTGTTAATGAAATGGGAAATTCTCATGAAAACTAAAATAAAACATATACTGTTTAACATGTATACTTTACTCATAGGAGAGCATATTGGTAAAACTTCTTTGTTTTTTTGAGATGGAGTTTTGCTCTTGTTGCCCAGCCTGGAGTGCAATGGCATGATCTCAGCTTACTGCAACCTCCACCTCCAGGGTTCAAGCAATTCTCCTGCCTCAGCCTCCTGAGTAGCTGGGATTACAGGCGTGCACCACCATGCCTGGCTAATTTTTTTGTATTTTTAGTAGAGACGGTGTTTCACCATGTTGGCCAGGCTGCTCGCGAACTCCTGACCTCAGATTATCCACCCTCTGCGGCCTCCCAGAGTGTTGGGATTACAGCTGTGAACCACTGTACCTGGCCCATATTGGTGAAACTTTATGTAAGTAATTAATTTTATTTGGTTAAGTAGAAAATATTCATACTCTTCACTTTCTAGAGAAGACAGTTTCTTGAACACATTTACCAGGAAAGAAGATCATAGAAGCATTTTAGTTAATAGAAAAATCTGAAAACAACAAAACTGACCATCTCAGTATAATGGATACATAAAATATAGTATATTTATATAATGGATGTTATATAGCAATCTATGATTTATAGCTGTGTATCAATCTAGCCATCTCTCAAAAAGATGATATTAAATACAAATAAAAAGTCAGATATGGGTATACCTGTGTGAATCCTGAATATCTGAGACAGGTCTCAGTTAATTTAGAAAGTTTATTTTGCCAAGGTTGAGGACGTGTGTCCATGACAGCCTCAGGGGTTCCTGATGACATGTGCCCAAGGTGGTCAGAACACAGTTTGGTTTTATACATTTTAAGGAGACATGAGACATCAATCCACATGTAAGATGAACATTGGTTCTCTCCAGAAAGGCAGGACAACTCGAGGCAAAGGTGGAACAACTCAAGTGGGGAGGGGCTTCCAGTTCTTAAGTAGATAAGATACAAATGGTTTCATTCTTTTGCGTTTCTGATTAGCCTCTCCAAAGGAGGCAATCAGATATGCATTTATCTCAGTGAACAGAGGTATGACTTTGAATAGAATGGAGGCAGGTTTGCCCTGAGTTCCCAGTTTGACTTTTCCTTTTAGCTTAGTGATTAAACCCCTAGGGAGATGGATTTTAGGTCTTCTCTTGTTTCCTTGTTCAGTGATCCTATGATTAAACCTGTTTCTTTGCTGCAACTTGGTTACTCAGCCTATTGACTTGTTTTGCACATTGGGTAACGGACCCATTATAGTAACAATTACTCATTCTCATCTTCCCTTTGAATACTTTTTCCTGCAACCTCATATATGAGGACATGTTGTTAGAATTTGCATTGAGATAGTTGTGGTTTAGATTCTCAGCTCTGCCATTTATATGAATGTAAACAAGTAGCTTAATCTGTAGGAGTTTTTAATTCTCTATTTATAATATGGGGCTAATAAGACCTAGTTTGCACTTGATCCATATTTGTATTAAAGAACTAATCCTAGTCTATCTTATTTGGGGTTTTTCCAAACTTAATTTTAAAACTCTTACCAGTAATCCAAATGTAATGGTCTTCGTAGTTTCATATAAACTGGCAATGTCTTGTATATAAATGATAGTTTGTTATTGTTGAAGGAATCAATCAATGTTCAAAGAAATATGTGGAGTTTAGTCAGTATATAGACTAATAATAAGTCCCTCTAAAGGTTGCTGAGAAAGAAAGAAAAGATTAGCAAACATACTAAGTATCAGAATATATATAGTCTATGAAATTCAGTAATTACATGCATTTATTTAGCTCATCTATTCCCAAAGAATATTCTCAAAAAAGCATTGATACACATATATGTATATATCAGTTATATAGTTATATGTATATGGATAAATTTTTTACATATTTAATTGAAATGTATTTTTTCTTGGAAAAGTTTATTAGGCAAAAACTGGGAACTTAAGAAAAGTATATTGACCAGCTGACTAGAATCTTTGATTTTTCCAGGGTCTTATTAGTGCTTTGTTCCTTCAGGTGTGGTCCTTGGACCAGCAACATCAGTATCTATATCACCTGAGAGCTTGTTAAACATTCAGAAATTGGGAGCCCACGCAACATCTACAGAATCAGAATCTACATTTCTACAAGATACTCTGGAATTCATACCTAAATTTTGTGGTTTGAGAAGTCCTGTAGTGCAGGTGAGTAAATCATCCATTCACAATTTCTTAAATCTATCTGATCAAATAAACCTCTTCCCCATGTTTAATTCCATATTACAAGAACTACGGTCACATGAAATAATTTATCTTCCCAGGGGGAATATTCTGTAAAGACAACACAAACATTCTAACCTGTTTGGCAGTTGCTTCTTATTATTAATTGTCATTTTGTTCGGTTGTTTACCGTGAGTCTCTTTCGTGAGAATAGGTCTTCTGTGCCTCTTTGTCTTTGGGCAATGTAAAAAAGCAATTACTACATGTGAAAAATTTGAGAAAATTCCCTAGGTTAGTATTTCTCTAATAACACATTAGATGGAAATGTGGTACTAGTGAAAAGGCAGATTCTTGCAATCTGTAATAAATCTGACTTTACCAGTGAAGTTTTATCATCTATGTTTTTAACCAGCCCCACATTCTAAAGCTTGTGAATCATTAGACTATTTTCTTGGTGAACCCATCAAGAAGCATGTGGTATTTTTAGTTTTTTTTTTTAACATAATATTCAATCTAATGCTCAGCTTTTAATTTTAA
Source organism: Homo sapiens (assembly GCF_000001405.40). Taxonomy (NCBI): domain Eukaryota; kingdom Metazoa; phylum Chordata; class Mammalia; order Primates; family Hominidae; genus Homo; species Homo sapiens. Next base: position 98,533,259 of record NC_000011.10, read on the forward strand.
ACACCTGTTTGAAACTGATAGCCTATACTAAAGAAATAATGCTCACATCTATGGTCCATGAACATCTGAGGCTGTGAAGTCTTCTACTTACTCTTATATTACTCATTATTTTACTTATTCTTTATTACTTGGAGGAGTTAAAGGCAAGACTTAACAAGCACAGCAGTTATGTGTACAAATAATGAATGGGTTTATATATAAGACCTAAATGAATTATACCAACATTTTATATTTATTGCTACCTTAATAATTATTCTTTATTCCTTGTTATTCATATCTACATAGACTCATGTAGAGGAGATAGTTTCTATTTTATTTTTATTATCAACTAATTTACTTCTCTTATTTAATAAATGCTTAGGCTTTTTAATCCATAAGTTGATGCACCATGTGCTAGGAGAATGTCACAGAAAAAGCAAATTGGCAAGACCTTATACGTCACAGAAAAAAAGATTTACTTTGTCAGTTTTACAAAGTCATAAAATGGCACTGGAGCAATTGTAAAAAATAATATGAGTAGATATCTGTTAGTGGTATTCTTTTAGTAAGGGAAATTATTTACTGTGAAAACAAAAGATAAACAAATATATTAATATGTGATCTTGCAAAGTATATAGCTAAAGTTGTGTAATTACTTTATGAAAATTATAGTGTTTAAGAACTTTCTAGTAAAATAGCAAATAAAAATTTATAAATACTAGGTAATTTGCTGGATGTATTCGACTGTCACTATTTAAAAAGAAAGCAAAAAAAGATTAATGAAATAACAACAATAAAACCTTCCTGGCCTACAGCTTACTTAAATTACTGAATTTGCATCCTCAGAAAGTGAAAATAATGGTAAGAATCAATGAGAGGTTACAGAAGCCAAAGCCAATAAAAGAAATAATTCGTTTAGAGCCCAAGATATCAATTATAATTATGGTAAGAACACTTCCCTTTTACTGAAAATTATTTGAATCTAGATTCTCTATTTCATTTCATTGACATGTATATTAGTAGACTTCAAAGTCAGAGTCAGCTGAAGAAAAAAACAGCAGCTTATTTACAAAGCTTTCCATCACCAAGATTCCTCTTAATCTTGGATGATCAGAACAGTACTAAAACTCCCCCTGCATCACCTCAGTTCGTATATGTTCCAGATTAACACCTCATACGTCTCATGTTGATGATTTTGGAGTAAGTTGTTTTAAGAGATTTTGTGACTCCTTTTATTGTTTCAGTATGAAGGAAGTGAAAGGTGTCATATAAAACCATGTAAAAAAATAAAGAGTTAAAAATTTATTCATTCAGTGTAAATCAATCTGCATTATTTATACTTAAAATTCCATATGGACTTAAGCCTTTAAGATGATTTGTGAATGAAGACTATTTATTTTAGCCTCACAATCTGGAGAGAAGCCTATGCTAATTTCAATGGCTAATGTTCAATTATTCACTTTATTTTTGTTTTAAGTACCTTATTTCTTTCATCATCTCTGCTTCTCTGTCTCATCAGAAACAAAATTCTTCCTTAACCCATTCAAAAACATCCTCCAATTCAGAAATCTTAAATGAAATCCATGGATCTACTTTGGTTTCAGATTTTGTATCCTGTATAATGAGAGAAGAGTTTTGCCCTAAGCGAATGTAGAAATATAATTAACCTATTTTATTAGAGACCATTAAAGGCCATACTCCTACTAATGTTTAGAAGCAATGATCTACACCCCTTCATTTGTAAACCAGTATTGCTATTCTAGACCATGCCTTTAAAAGTTTAATTGCCTTCACTTTGAACTATTTGTGATTAACTTTTTATAGAATAGTTCTTCTAAAAATTTAGTCGTCAAGTCTTATGACTCAATGTCTTTCCACAGAAGTAGGAAATAAGAGATGTAACCCCAATTTTAAACTACAATAACTAAAATATGATTTTAAAAAATAGATACTAAAAAAATCAAAATTATCTGTGTTGTGAAAGAGGATAAATATGGAACAGGGAGTTTGTGATTTGATTGATTTAAAGAGGTGAAATTTTTAATATGAAAATAATTTTTAAAAATTAAGGAACATAATTTCTATAGATTTTTAAAGTAACCTCTTTAAAAAGGATTATTCATGCCTACGACTAATAAAAACGAAGGATGGGCGCGGTAGCTCACGCCTGTAATCCCAGCACTTTGGGAGGCCGAGGTGGGCAGATCACAAGGTCAGGAGATCGAGACCATCCTGGCTAACATGGTGAAACCCCATCTCTACTAAAAATACAAAAAAATTAGCTGGGAGTGGTGGCGGGTGCCTGTAGTCCCAGCTACTCGGGAGGCTGAGGCAGGAGAATGACATGTACCCAGGAGGCAGAGCTTGCAGCTTGCAGTGAGCCTAGATAGTGCCACTGCACTCCAGCCTGGGCGACAGAGCAAGACTCCATCTCAAAACAAAAAAAAAATAAATAAATAAATAACAAAATAACCAAAAAGGAAACACAGTACGTAACAAAAATTAATAATAATCCCATTACCAAAAGTAAAGAGAAAGGACACTGGTCTGTTCATTTAAGGTATGTATATATCATCCCAAAATTGTATGCATGTATAAGCAGATAAACAAGTATACATCTTTTTTTTACAGAAATAAGAGCTTATACACTTTCTTCTATAATAGTTATTGCTATTTGCACTTACCATATGGATCATCTCATAATACCACATATAAACTTATTTCATTCCTCTTATCTCATTACTGCAAAGCTAACGGTACTTTGTATGGGTGTTTCACAATTAAGTTATTAATTTTCTTCTGATGAACATTGATTAATTTGCTTTCTGCTTCCCTTTGCTTTCCCAACTGCATCACTTAGAAAAATATTAAATAATAATGTGGTAGTTATATCCTGACTTAATGGAAGTCCTTCTAAAATTTCAGCAGTAGGTAATACTGATGGCATTTTATTTATACATGCATACACACAGTCATCATGATACAGCAGTTTCCATATCTTCATTTATGTCTATTTTACTAGTATTTTTGGTAGTTGCTATTTTTGTCTTTGTTTTTGTGTATGTGTTCGTGTGAGTTTTTTGTACTAATGGCTATTGAATATAATTAAATGCCTTTCTGCAGCTATGGAGATAACATTATCTTTTTCTTCTGTGACTTATTAATGATTTATATTTATAGACTTTCTAATATTCTACTGTTCTTACAAATCTAGAATGAATTATATAAGTCATGATGTGGATATACTACCAGATTTTCTTTTCTGTTATTTAAAATAAATTTGAATATATACATGAGTATATATTTTTAGTTGTTTTTTAATACTGGTTTTGTCACATTTTGTTAATACGTCCCAGCCTTTGTTAAGGACAGATCTTTGAAATATTTCCTTGTTCTCTTTACTAAAAAATTTTAAATGGTATTGAAATTGTGTAATTTTGAGAGTTTGTTCATATTCACTTATAAAATCACATAGGTTTGTGAATTTGGCAATTTGGGAGATATAATGAGGCTTGCTATTAACTTCTTTAATTTCTTCTATAAGAATTGGTTTGTATGCCCTTTATATAACTTCATGTGTCTTGTCCTTATCCTAGAATATCCTTAAATGCCCAAATAACAAAATAATTTCCTGGGGAAACAAAATAAACCTCATTTAATCACTTCCCAGTGTAAAATTCATTAATGGTGATCTTCTTGGTGTGTTTAGAATAAATAAAATACTGCCTACGTAGCACACTTGGTCCTATATACTTTGGCTCCAGTCTCTCATTCTAGTCACATTTTTCATGAATCCCATCCACCCCCTCTAGTCCAGTCATATGGAAATATTAGGTTGGTGTAAAAGTAATTGCGGTTTTGCCATTACTTTTAATACCAGTAAATTCTACAGATGTCATGTTTTCCCACAACCTTCTGGATTTACATTTGTTATTTCCTCAAGCCTAAAACTGAGGCAAAATTTAACCACTATCTGGACACTTAAGAAATCAGCCTGGCCGGGCACGGTGGCTCACGCCTGTAATCCCAGTACTTTGGGAAGCTGAGTTGGGCGGACCACGAGGTCAGGAGATCGAGACCATCCTAGCTAATACAGTGAAACCCTGTCTCCACTAAAAATACAAAAAATTAGCCAGGCATGGTGGCGGGCACCTACAGTTCCAGCTACTTGGGAGGCTGAGGCGGGGAAATCGCTTGAACCTGGGAGGCAGAGGTTGCAGTGAGCCAAGATGGCACCACTGCACCACTGCACTCCAGCCTGTGTGACAGAGCAAGACTCCCTCTTAAAAAAAAAAAAAAAAAGATCAGCCTGGTTTCAATTCTCCTCCTTTATATTTTTTCTTAGCATTCTTTACATATTTCTATCAAGCAATTACCATACTGTTCATAGTCATTGATTTGGATTTCTGTCTTCCTCTCTCCTATGCTTCCAGAACTGATGACATTAGCACTTTGCCTGCCATATAGTAGGGTAGTCCTAAATGAGTGTAAAATGCATTACTTCAATTGATAAAAATAAAAAAAAAACTTTGGAAATTTACAACTAGAATAAGAATTGCTGTCATATTAGAAAATATGTTGTTTCAAGTTTTTCTATTATTTTACAAGTTCATCTTTAACTTCTAATATTCTTGAATATTACAATTAACTTATAACAGCACGTAAGAGAATGGGCACTTTCCCCTACCCCAAACCTAATCAAACCAAAACATACCAAAGAAAGCGAACTTGCTAATCTCTTAACAACACAAAAATTCCAATCACACTGTCTATTATCTACCTAAGCAATTTTGTGCCAACTCACAAGAAGAAGACAGGGGCCAGAGATTATTTTCTCCATTTTTTAACTGAGGAAAATAAATGTGGATAATTAAAATACTTATTACTTTGTATAGAAAAATTAGATATTCTTGACTTGTAGTTTTGAAATAATAAAAATGAATGTCACTCTTTAGATCATATTTTCTTATGGAGAATTGACTATCATCCTGCCTTTGAAAAGGGGATTAATTGCAATATTGCAGTCGCATAACTGAAGATCTGAGAGTTTGCTTGGCTGCATAACAGAACAAGGAACGACAAAGCTCACAATTTAATTTCTGTTTTACTTAAAACTGAGTGAAATACCAAACAGGAAATTTGTCTGAGAGAATCAAAGAAAGGAAATACGTATTTTTAACTATTAAAATCCTCCGGGGGAATTGCTTGAACCCGGGAGGTGGAGGTTGCAGTGAGCCGAGATTGCGCCATTGCACTCCAGTCTGGGGGACAAGAGCGAGACTTTGTCTCAAAATTAAATAAATAAATAAATAAATAAATAAATAAATAAATAAATAAATAAAATAAAATAAAATAAAATAAAATCCTCCAGGGGAGCAAATAGAATTCGAACCTCAAGGGAATAAAGATGCCAGTTTAATGAGAGAAGGTTTTATTCTTGCTTAGCAGTTAGATTTACTCAGTGAAATGAGGCAGTAAAGAGGTTTTTAATATAATGATAGGGAGCTGTGCTTTAAATTGAATAAATTTTTATTTTTCAATGGGATGTAACTTATATCTAGGTTAGGCTTAAGTCTGCTATATCTTCAGTTGTTTAAGTCTCCTATATCTTCAGTTGTTTAAGTCTCCTATATCTTCAGTTGTTTGTAGTTTCTCTTTCTCTCTATATAAAATTACTTCAATCTTCAGCATATATATACAATATAACCACTTTAATATTAATCATACATATATCATTACACTAGGTTGCTGCATATCTTTCAAAATTTCTCATCTGCCTGTGAAAAGAGGAAAAAAAGGGAGAAAGACAGGAAGGGAGGAAAGGAGGAATGGAGGAAGGGGAAAAAAGAGAGAGAGAGAAAGGAATTTGTTACTCAAAAAGTGAAAATATATCAGACGAGTACTTAAAGTCTGGAAGTCTGGAGAATACACATGATTACTTCCTCTTTAGACCACATATAATTTGACTTGTAAAATATTGGAGATATTCAAATAATTTTTGTGTTCTTTCCTGTCATAGTTTTCTATTCTTTATTTGATTAGTGTTAAATGTATATATAAAAATGACTTGTGTTGCTTATAATGTTAAAAATACAGGGGATATTTTGATTGCTATAACACAATAATGCTAAATTAGCTCTCAGTATTATTTTACCATTAATATATACAAAGGGCTAAATTTACCCTTTGAGATATCAAGATTCTAATCTCTGGAGAATGAAATGGTGTTTTAATAGACTGCAATTCTGATGTTTCACATATAACCAGATGAAACAGAAATTAATATAATTTGGCTTTCTTTCAATAATTACTAAAATGGAAATTATTAAAAATTTTAAATCACATGTAGGAATCAGTTATAATAAGAGATTCTCTAAGATTCTCTAATTGTTTACTTTTCTTCTATTAATAAGTTATCTGTACAACTAAAATAATCTGAAAATGGATAGTTTTAGTCTACTTTTCCACCACCTTAAGGGCAATAATTTTATGTAATGTTGAGGATCTTATATGAATTACCAATGAAAATAATCTGTATTCTTACTTTATTTTTTGTTTGGCGTGGATAAGGGGATGGCATAGCAAAAATAATGCGATTGTAAAATGAATTAATATACACAATTCCTTTCTTAGCTAATATACCAATGCAATCATTGTGGATCACATAATAAACAGCTTTACATCCACATTATAGAAAATTCTTAGCTTATAGTTCATTTGCTATTATAAACATACCAGGAAGCCTTGGATGACAGGTAATTCACAAATACAATATCCTATACTAATTGAACCAGGATGAAATAGAAGAACAGTAATCAAAAATGATTTCACATTCTGCTAACCTTCTGGATTGAAAATGGTATCTTCTCCCCAAGGGGAAATATCGTGGCAGCCTTAAACCAACAAGAACTATATATATATATATCAACCCAGTGTCTGATGAGAAAGAGAGAAATCTAACAGCATAGCTTTCAGTTACCAAGTAAAAATACCTGGGAAGAAAGGGATAATTAGAAATGAAGGAAGCTACATTGACAAAAGTAAATAGGATTCAATGTCCTGTTTTGATTACACTCTGGTTGTCTGTTTTAAACTTACTGTATATTTGTTTTGATAGTTGCTTCCCTCTCCTTTCACCTCCTCTTATTTCTTTTACCTTGGACAAAATTTTTTGACAAATATTCTGCATAAATCGAAATAAATACTTCATGGCTTTTAACAGGTAATAACATTTACATTAAATTTCCTTTTATTTCATCTTGGACAGCATAATAAAGATCTTACAAATTAAAAGAAATTCAAAAAGAGCATCCACACATGATTGTGGATGTCTACTCTACAGACCTTGCATATTTTGTAGAATTAAAGAAAATATCTTTTTTAGAGAATTAAAGACAGTATCTTTTTTAAAAGGATAGGAAATACTGATGAATGGAATAGCTAATTATATTTCCTCATCCTAAATCAAGACTGTTTTCTGATGAAGATGACAAATAACTTTTCTATCATGTTTTTGAAAAGTGTTTGAAAAACTTCTCTAATTTTATGAATAATATATTTTAAAGAAGTAAAATCTGGAAATGTTGTCTTCTGGAAAAGGACAGAAGCAAATTCCATTTTGCACATGTTCTAGTCTGTAAGCAACTTGCTTTCTTACCTCGTCATGCAGCAAAATTAGCTGCTTTTAACAATAAACCTAGGTTTAATGAAAGTAAAATGTCGTGTCTTTTATTTCTTTCTCCCTTTTTTTTTTTTTTTTTTTTTTGAGTTGGAGTTTCTCTTGTCACCCAGGCTAGATTGCAATGGTGCGATCTCAGCTCACTGCAACCTCCGCCTCCCGGGTTCAAGTGATTCTCCTGCATCAGCCTCCAGGGTAGCTGGGATTACAGGCACACACCACCACACCCAGGAAATTTTTTTGTATTGTTAGTAGAGACAGGATTTCTCCATGGTGGTCAGGCTGGTCTTGAACTCCTGACTGCGTGTGATCCACCTGCCTCGGCCTCCCAAAGTGCTGGGATTACAGGTGTGAGCCAGCACGCCCAGCCCGTGTCTTTTATTTCTGGTATATTGCTATAACACTAAATATTCCATTGTCTTTTTTAGAGATAATCAGTGTGAATTAAAATTTACCAGAAGATGACATGTTAATTTATTATTGGGCATCTGTTCATACTTCGATTCATAAACTCTTCAATTTTATATAGTTTATTTGATTAATAAAATTAATCAAATAAATTGAACCTTGACATAGCAAATGTAGGAAACAAAAGAGAATGTATTTTCGTACTATAAACTACTCACAAAGTATTCATATACTTTACTTCCTATTTAAAATATAATGTATAATCAAAGTATAAGTAAACAAATACAAATAGGAATTATCTAATTTTTAAGTGATTTTTATTGTGTGAGGTGGCTCATTTCAGAGGACACAATTTGGTATGAGATTTGGCATATATTTGGACAAAAGACATAACATTGTTTTACTAAGTAGGTGGACTGGAGTCAAGGCATTGGGGAAATTTTAGAAGTTGGAGGGAGAAGTAACAGAGATACGCATTTGGAAATCCATTATTGGGTATAGCCATGTTTCATTTCACAGAACAGCAAAAATTGAGTGTATGCTACCAAGTGTAAAATCTTCATATGAATGGTAAAAAAAGATATCTATCTCAAGCCGTGTTAGTACTTACAGTCTGTTAAAAAGATAAATATTAAATAATTTTTATGAGTGGTAAGTATAATTTATAGGAGGTGATTGTTTTGGACTAAGCACTTGCACTAGGCTCCAACAGACTAGGAAAACCATAATGGAGTCACCCATGCTAGGTAACACATAATCAAACAACTTTATTTATTTATTTATTTGAGACTGAATCTAGCTCTGTCACCCAGGCTGGAATGTAGTGGCACAGTCTCGGCTCACTGCAACCTCCACCTCCCAGGATAAAGGGATTCTCCTGCCTCAGCCTCCCAAGTAGCTGGGATCACAGGTGCCTACCACCACGCCCAGCTAATTGTTTTGTATTTTTAGTAGAGACAGAGTTTTACTGTGTTGGCCAGGCTGGTCTCTAACTCCTGACCTTGTGATCCGCCTGCCTCGGCCTGCCAAAGTGCTGGGATTACAAGCGTGAGCCACCGCTCCTGGCCAATCAAACAACTTTAGAAGAAGCCAGTTTTTTCCTAAAAACAGGAGATTTGCAGTAACCAATCGAAAAGGTCCCAGTTTAATTGATCTATCATGATAAGACTGTCCCCTCATTTTTAACCCTATAAGGAAAGTAACTTTGAAATGACCAATCCACTTTTTGTCCTGTTTTTCCACTTTCTTCATCTTTTTCTTTACCTATAATGCCCACTTTCTCTGCTTAGCTTATCAGAGCACCTTTTGTATTTTATAAAATGAGATGCTGCCCAATTCATGAATCACAAACAAAAAAGTCAAGAATTTCTTAAAATTTGTTAAAATTTTATCTTTTGCCCTGAGTAAATTAATAAAAATATATGTACAAATTCCACTAATAAATAAAATGTGTATGTAATATGAAATATAATAACAAGAAGGTTTAATTTAGACTTTCTGTAAAAGTGACATTTAAGCTGCTGTTCAATAGATGAGCAGGATTTAGCCATGTGAAAGGCAAGGAGAAGAAAATAGAATGTTCTAAATTAGGAAAAATGAGATGCTTCTCAGGAGCTAAAAAGAGACCTTGTGGCTGGAGCTGGGTGAGAAAGCTGCAGTGTAGTGGAAAGTGAGTGTGGAAAGATGAGCAACTATCACATCAGAGAGACCTCCTCGTAGGTTACTATGATGACAGTGTTGAGGCTGATTTTCTTGAGAATTTTCCATTGTCTTCAGAATTAGGAAATTTTGTTATTTTGGTATCTGTTAAACCACCTTGAAATCAATAGCCTTTGTTTTGAAAAATCTTCTTTAAACAGTTAACATGTATAATTATACACTTCTGTTATTTATCTGACGTATTGGTGAAGAACAAGAGGAAGACCAACAACACCTGTGCTATGCAGATGTATTTCTGACTGTAACAAGATGTTTAAGGCTTATGGCGAGAAGATTGGGTAATACTTTCACAGCTTCTCCAAATTCGAGATTAAAGATGTAGTGATCATGGGATCTCTCTCTAAACAAAATAATGCTCTTAGATAAATAGATTGTACCATTCACAATGGGACTGATGACTTACTGCACATACATGGTTCAAAATTCTCCCCCTTAAATTTGGTAAGTTGTATACCTAAGCTAGTTCTAATGACACAATAAGCTTCATGAATAAATAAAATATTCTAAGAGTCTGTATAATAGAACTTCTCACACTTCATTTTATTATCCCTAAAGCTCAAAGATTCACGATATTTAAAATGGTAATGCCAATAATAGCAACTAAACAGTACTTTAGAGAGTGTATTATGTAAGTATATTTTGGAGAATTCTTTCAACTTAACAGACTGGTTGTGAGGCAAAAAGATAGAAGACTACCACAATTGAAGGATAACCAGACATTATGGCAAAGGTCTTGAATTCTGATCTCCTTTCAGTTATGAACCAGTCTTGTAACTTGGGCAAGTTACATAACTTCTCTTGGTCTTGGCTACAGTATCAGAAAATTTAATGTTAGACTAAATACGATGACTCTTATACATACCTACACAATTTATTCAGATAGTTTCTTAAAAATACCAGAACTAGATTGTAAAAAAAAAAACAAATTGGCCAGTTAAATCACTAATTTTGAAAATCAAACTCATTTAATCAATTAGATGTACTACTAGTCAAATCCATTTGATAGCTTAGTTTCTATTATTCCAAATTAAAGTACACAGCCACATAGATGAAAATTTACCCAAATATGATCATAAAATTAAGCATACTATCAAGTGAATAGAGTTTTAAGAAAAATTTTGTAATATGAAATATAATGTATACTTTACTCAGTGATGGTTTCTACATTGAAAATATTATTGCATTCTAAATATTTTTTATATGGTTTGTGGGATTTATTCTCACACAATGTGATGTTTTTAATTGAACTAGGTATGTTTGGTAAAATTATTTATTAAACATATTGAACATTTTTCATATTGAATATAAATGGCCAAAACAGAACTCTTTTCTTTGTCAAACTTAATAAAACAAATTGAGCCTCTATAAAAATCACCTGCACATATAACATCAGATCCTAACCACTTATGTGAAAATGAGCCAAGATTTAATTAAGGATATTGTTCATTCAAAATGATCAACTTATTCATTTATATTTATTTTCGTGTGCTTATTGGGAAACAAATGAAGCTTAGTATCTACATGTGATGTCTGAGTTGAATGTGGAATCCACTTAATTTATGTAAAGAAATTCAACTTAAGAAGAACTGACAGCAACAGAGATCTGGTATATCAATTTGCAACATAAGGTATAAACAATTGTAGGATTATATAGCCTCAAATTAAATCATTAAAGTAAAAAAAGCTGTTTTTTACATATGCTGAGAAGAGACCATTTGTTCATATTGTTTTATATTTTAAACTCAATTTTATTGAGACTATAAGGATATTGATAACCTAGAAAAATAAATTTTGGAGACAAAGTATAAGTAATAATGTATTTTATTATGCTTCATACTCTACATACACTTTATCAGTAATGAAAACAGATATACTTAATGTAATTTGCTAACTTAATATACTTAATGCAATTTGCTAACATACTGCAAAGTAACCATAATTTGCACAGATGTTAAAATATCGCAGTATACATTATGCTTTTAACCCCAAGTATGGGAAGATTTGCATTGCGTTGTCATACTCTCTCTCAGTGTACATATTCTAACATACTACTAATATTTGAACGGGTTTATTAATCTCAATTTCAACAACCTCAGTAGAGACGGAATCATCTTGGCGGATGGGAGGCAGGACTAGATTGCAACTCCCACTCAGAGCGGCATGTGGAGGCTTGCATCATGAACTTTTGCTCCAGAACGACTGCAGGAATACATTAGGAAAGCTAAGAGAACCCACAGATCCTCTGAAGAAAGCGAATTGCTCTTGCAGGACTCAGGAGATACACCAAATATTATGAATGCCCTACCTATGGAGGCAGGAAAGGGAGGTCATCTACCCTGGAACACACACCCCCATTAGGGAACCTGAACATCTAGATTATGGGAGAAGATTCTGACCTTACCTGGAGCTAAGTCAATTTAGAGAGCAGTGTGAAATACAAGGGTAGAGGAAGCAGTGGGAAAAGCCCTGTGGGCATGCTGGATCCCCTAGCAAGCCATTTCTGCCCTTCCTCACAGGGGTCCTTGGGAAGGACAGCCAGAGGCACTGAGAAAAGGCCACAGGGAGAAAGAAACCTCCAGCTGAACTTTGTTAACTATTTGAACTGGTTGAGAAGTCTCCTGGCCAGAACTCTGGGGAGGGACTGAATCTGGTATGCGGACTCCACAGGCTGGGGAAGAATGAAAGCCCTAAGTACTTTTGCAGCTGGGAGGAGGGTAGACTGGGGCAAGTTCTCAGCCCCGCTCAGCCACTGTCTGGAACAGACTCAGTGCTGTCTTGGGGGATAAGGTGGGAGTGAAACTGGCCCTTCAGATTGTGTGGGAGCTGAGTGAGGCCTGTGACTGCCAGCTTTATCCCACTTCCCTGACAACCTGCATGACACAGCAAAGACAGTCGTAATTCTCCTAGGAACATAACTCCATTGACCTGGGAACCTCACCCCCATCCCCGACAGCAGCCACAGCAAGATCCGCCCAAGGAGAGCCCAAGGTCAGACATGCCTAGCCCTGCCCCTCTTGTTCCTTCCCTATCCACTCTGGTAATTGAAGACAAAGGACATATGATCTTGGGAGTCCTAGGGCCCTGCCCACTGCCTGGTCCTCCCCATACTATCACAGCTGATGCTCTCTTGAAAGCACCAACTCCCTACAGGAGGCCAACCAGCACAAAAACAGTGCATTAAGCAACCCAAGCCAAGGACTCTCACAGAGTCCATCTTACCCCCCTGCCACCTCTACTGGAGCAGGTGCTGCTATCCATGGCTGAGAGACCCACAGATGATTTAAATCACAGGACTCTGCAGACAACCACCCCCAGTACCAGCCTGGAGCTGGTAGTCTTGCTGGGTAGCTAAATCCAGAAGAGAGATAACAATCATTACATCTTGGCCCTCAGGAAGCCACATCCCTACGAAAAGGGGGAGAGTACTACATCAAGGGAACACCCCATAAGACAAAAGAACCTGAACAACAGCGTAGAGCCCTAGAACTTCCCTCTGACAGAGCCTACCCAAATAAGAAGGAACCAGAAAAGCACCTCTGGTAATATGACACAACAGGGTTCTTTCAGACCCCCCAAAAATTACACTAGCTCACCAGCAATGGCTCCAAACCAAGAAGAAATCCCTGATGTACCTGAAAAAGAATTCAGAAGGCTAGTTATTAAGCTAATCAGGGAGTCACCAGGGGAAGGCAAAGCCCAATCTAAGGAAATTGACAAAAAAAGATGCAGGAAGTGAAGGGAGAAATATTCAATGAAATAGATAGCATAAATAAAAAACAATCAAAACTTCAAGGAACAATGGTCGCACTTATAGAAATAACAAATACTCTGGAATGTCTCAGTAATGGAATCAAACAAGCAGAAGAAAAAACTTCAGAGATCAAAGACAAGGTCTTTGTATTAACCCAATCCAACAAAGGCAAAGAAAAAGAATAAGAAAATATGAACAAAGCCTCCAAAAAGCCTGGGATTATGTTAAATGACTAAACCTCAGAATAATTGGTAGTCCTGAGGAAGAAGAGAAATCTAAAAGTTTTGGAAACATATTTGGGGGAATAATTGAGGAAAACTCCCCTGGCCCAGCTAGAGACCTAGACATCCAAATACCAGAAGTTCAAAAAACACCTGAGAAATTCATTGCAAAACAATCATCACCTGGACACATTGTGATCAGGTTATCTAAAGTTAAGATGAAGGAAGAAATTGTAAGAGCTGTGAGGCAAAAGCACTAGGTAACCTATAAGAGAAAACCTATCAGATTAACAGCAGATTTCTCAGCAGAAACCGTAGAAGCTAGAAGGGATTGGGGCCCTATCTTCACCTTCCTCAAACAAAATAATTATCAGCCAAGTATTTTTTATCTAGCAAAACTAAGCTTCATAAATGAAGGAAAGATATAGTCTTTTTCAGACAAACAAATGCTGAGAGAATTCGCCTCTACCAAGCCTGCTACGAGAACTGCTAAAAGGAGCTCTAAATCTTGAAACAAATCCTAGAAACACATCAAAACAGAACCTCTTTAAAGCATAAATCTCACAGGACCTATAAAACAAAAATACAACTTAAAAACCCCAAAAAACAAAAAGCCAAGGTATACAGGCAACAAATACCACGATGAATGGAATGGCACCTGACATCTCAATACTAAGGTTGAATGTAAATGGACTAAATGCTCCACTTAAAAGATACAGAATTGCAAAACAAATAAGAATTCACCAAACAACTATCTGCTTCCTTCAAGATACTCGCCTAACACATAAGGACTCACATAAACTTAAGGGAAAGAGGGGGAAAAAGACATTCCATGCAAATGGACACCAAAATTGAGCGGGAGTAGCTATTCTTATATTAGACAAAAGAAACATTAAAACAGCAGTTAAAAAAATACCAAAAGGGTCATTATATAATGATAAAAGGCCTTGTTCATCAGGAAAATATTACAATCCTAAATATGTATGCACCTAACAGTGGAGCTCCCACAGTTATAAAACAATTACTAATAGACCTAAATTATAAGATAGACAGCAACACGATAATGGGGGGGAACTTCAGTTTTGCTTCCACTGACAGCACTAGACAGGTCATCAAGACAAAAAATCAACAAAGAAACAATGGATTTAAACTATACTCTGGAACAAATGGACTTAACATATGCATACAGAACATTCCACCCAACAGCTGCAGAATACACATTCTATACAACAGTACATGGAACTTTCTCCAAGATAGACCATATGATAGGCCACAAAACGAGCCTGAATGAATTTAAGAAAATTGAAATTACATCAAGCACTCTCTCAGACCACAGTGGAATAAAACACTATCAACTCCAAAAGGAATCTTCAAAACCATGCAAATACATGGAAAGTAAATAACCTGCTCCTGAATGATCATTGGATCAAAAATGAAATCAAGATGGAAATTAAAAAATTCTTTGAACTGAATGACAATAGTGACACAACCTAAGAAAACCTCTGGGATACAACAAAGGCAGAGCTAAGGTGAAGGTTCATAGCCCTAAACGCTTACATCAAAAAATCTGAAAAAGCACAAACAGGCAATCTAAGGTCACACCTCAAGGAACTAGAAAAACAAGAACAAACCAAACCTAAACCTAGCAGAATGAAGGAAATAACGAAGTTGACAGCAGAATTAAAAAAAATTGAAACAAACAAACGCAAAATATAAATGAAACAAAAAGCTGGTTCTTGGAAAAGATAAAGTTGATAGACCATTAGCAGGATTAACTGAGAAAAGAAGACAGAAAATCCAAATAAGCTCAATTAGAAATGAAACAGGAGATACTACAACTGACACACAGAAATACAAAAGATCATTCAAGGCTACTATGAACACCTTTATGCACATAAACTAGAAAACCTAGAAGAGATGGATAAATTTTTGGGAAGATACAACTGTCCTAGTTTAAATCAGAAAGAACTAGATACCCTGAACAGACCAATAGCAAGCAGTGAGATTGAAATGATAATAAAAAAATTATCAACAAAAAAAAATCCAGGACCAGATGGATTCACAGCAGAATTCTACCAAATATTAAAAAAAAATTGATACCAATACTATTGACACTATTGCACAAGATAGAGAAAGAGGGAACTCTTCTTAAATCATTCTGTGAAGCCAGTATCACCTTAATATGAAAACCAGGAAAGGACATAACTGAAAAAGAAAACTATAGGCCAATATTCCTGATGAACATAGATGCTAAAATCCTTAAAAAATACTAGTTAACCAAATCCAACAACATATCAAAAAGTTAATCCATCATGATCAAGTGGGTTTTATATCAGGGATGCAGGGATGGTTTAACATACACAAGTCAAAAAATGTGATACACCACATAAACAGAATTAAAAACAAAAATCACATGATCATCTTAATAGATGCAGAAAAAGCATTTGACAAAATCCAACATTGCTTTATGATTAAAACTCTCAGCAAAATTGGCATACAAGGGACATAACTCAATGTAATAAAAGCCATCTATGACAAATCCACAGCCAACATAATACTGAATAGGGAAAAGTTGAACGCATTCCCTCTGAGAACTGAAACAAGAAAAGGATGCCCAGTCTCACAACTCGTCTTCAACATAGTACTGTAAGTCTTAGCCAGAGCAATCAGAAGAGAAAGAAATAAAGGGAATTCAAATCAGTAAAGAGGAAGTCAAACTGTCACTGTTTGCTGATGATATGATTGTTTTCCTAGAAAACCTAAAGACTCCTCCAGAAAGCTCCTAGAACTGACAAAAGAATTCAGCAAAGTTTCTGGATATGAAATTAACATACACAAATCAGTAGCTCTGCTTTACACCAAAGCGACTAAGCTGAGAATCAAATGAAGAACTCAATCCCTTTTACAATAGCTGCAAAAAAGTAAAATAAAATATTTAGGAATATACCTAACCAAAGAGATGAAAGACCTCTACAAGGAAAACTACAAAACACTGCTGAAGGAAATCATAGATGACACAAACAAATGGAAACACATCCTATGCTCATTGATGGGTAGAATCAATATTGTGAAAATGATCATACTGCCAAAAGCAATCTACAAATTCAATGCAGTTCCCACCAAAATACCACCATCATTCTTCACAGAATTAGAAAAAACAATCCTAGAATTCATATGGGACCAAAAAAACAAGCCTGCATAGCCAAAGCAAGACTAAGCAAAAAAAACAAATCTGGAGGCATCACATTACCAGATTTCAAACTATAGTATAAGGCCATAGTCACCAAAACAGCATGGTACTAGTATAAAAATAGGCACAGAGACCAATGGAACAGAATAGAGAACCCAGAAATAAACCCAAATACTTATAGCCAACTGATCTTTGACAAAGCAAACAAAAACATAAAGTGGGGAAAAGACACCATAATCAACAAATGGTGCTGAAATAATTGGCAAGCCACATGTAGGAGAATGAATCTGGTTTCTCATCTCACTTTATACAAAAGTCAACTCAAGATGGATCAAGGACTTAAATCTAAGACCTGAAATTATAAAAATACTAGAAGATAACATTGAAAAAAATCTTTCCATACATTGGGTTAGGCTAAGATTTCATGACCAAGAACTCAAAAGCAAATGCAGTAAAAACAAAGATAAATAGCTGGGACTTAATTAAACTAGAGAGCTTTTGCACAGCAAAAGGAACAGTCAGCAGAATAAATAGACAACCCACAGAATGGGAGAAGATATTCACAATCTATACATCTGGCAAAGGACTAATATCCAGAATCTATAATGAACTGAAACAAATTATCAAGAATAAAACAAGCCCATCAAAAAGTGGGTTAAACACATGAATAGAAAATTCTCAAAAGAAGATATACAAATGGCCAACAAACATATGAAAAAATGCTCAACATCAGTAATGATCAGGGAAAAGAAAAGCAAAACCACAATGCAATATCACCTTATTCCTTCAAGCATGTCCATAATCAAAAAATAAAAAAATAATAGATGTTGGCACGGATGTGGTGAACAGGAAACACTTCTACACTGCTGATAGGAATGTAAATTAGTACAACCATTATGGAAAACAGTGTGGAGATTCCTTAAGGAACTAAAAGTAGGGCCAGGTGTGGTGGCTCATACCTGTAATCTCAGCACTTTGGGAGGTTGAGGCAGGTGGATCACGAGGTCAGGGGATCGAGACCATCCTAGCTAACATGGTGAAACCCTATCTCTACTAACAATACAAAAAATTAGCCAGGTGTGGTGGCAGACGCCTGTAATCCCAGCTACTCAGGAGGCTGAGGCAGGAGAATGGTGTGAACCCAGGAGGTGAAGCTTGCAGTGAGCCAAGATCATGCCACTGCACTCCAGCCTGGATGACGGAGCAAGACTCCATCTCAAAAAAAGAGAACTAAAAGATGAACTACCATTTGATCCAGCAATCCCACTACTGGGTGTCTACCCAGAGGAAAATAAGTCATTTTACAAAAAAGATACTTGCACACACATGTTTATAGAGCACAGTTCACAATTACAAAAATGTGAAACCAACCCAAATGCCCATCAATCAACGAGTGGATAAAGAAACTGTGGAATATATATATATGGAATATATTATGGAATACTACTCAGCCATAAAAAGGAATGAATTAATGGCATTTGCAGTGACCCTAATGAGATTGGAGACTATTATTCTAAGTGAAGTAACTCAGGAGGAATGGAAAACCAAATCTCGCATGTTCTCACTCATAAGTGGGAGTTAAGTTATAAGGATGCAAAGGCATAAGAATGACACAATGTACTTTGGGGACTCAGAGGGAAAGGTTGAGAAGGGGTTGAGGGACAAAAGACCACAAATTGGGTGCAGTCTATACTGCTCAGGTGATGTGTGCACCGAAATCTCACAATTCACCACTAAAGAACTTACTCATGTAACCAAACACCACATGTTTTTCAATAACCTATGGAAATAGAAAAAAAAAAAAAAACACCTCAGGTCGGGCACGGTGGCTCACGCCTGTAATCCCAGCACTTTGGGAGGCCGAGGCGGGCGGATCACGAGGTCAGGAGTTTGAAACCAGCCTGGCCAACATAGTGAAACACTGTCTCTACCAAAAAAAAAAAAAAAAAAAATTAGCCGGGCATGGTGGTAGGCACCTGTAATCCCAGCTACTTAGGAGGCTGAGGCAGGAGAAAGGCTTAAACCCAGGAGGCAGAGGTTGCAGTGAGCCGGGATCGTGCCATTGCACTCCAGCCTGGGTGACAGAGCGAGACTCCATCTCAAAAAAAAAAAAAAAAAAAGATCCTCAGCAGATCGCATCTTGATAGACTTACAAAAATATTATTACAAATTTTTCATAAAAGGACCTTCTTGCTAGAGATGGGACCTGGCAGTGTTCCTTGGGCCTAGGTAAAAGTTAGTGTTCTAAGCAGTATAAAAAACTGGCTGGCGATATGTTCTGAAAATTTTTAAAGTAGGAAAACAAATATTCCCTCTAATCCTGAAGTGAGAACCTAGGACTGAGCTTCTGTCTTTACATATTTAGAGAGGTGTATAAGGAGGCGGGTCTACAAAAGAACTAAGAAGTATCCTGTGATTCAATTAGGATCTAAAGAGTGTGGCATCACTCAAGTCCAGAGTAAAAATGTTTTAATACATAGGCAGAGAGCATTAAAGTTGTTGAAAGTTGCTGTCAAGTCAACCAAGATAAATGAGAAAAGGGCTATTGATTTTAACAATATGAATTGTTGATGGTAACAGAAGAAAGAAAAACTGTAGTGAAAGAGCTTGAAAAGGATTAATTAGAATAAGTTAAAGAAAGTAGGTAAGGAAAGAAAGTTAATAAAAGGATCATAGATTAGTCTTTCAAGATATTTTATAGTGTATTTCTGAAGAATTGTAGATAATTGTTCATCTCACTTATTATGACATTCCAAAGTCTTCTTTTTAATATTCCTGAAAATAATTTAGTTAACTTTTCTTTTGGTTTCTGTGCTTTTGCTTTTATATCAAAGACCACTGACAAATCCAAGGTCATGAATATTTACTCTTATGTTTTCTTCCAAGAGTGTAGTAATTGTAGTTGTTATATTTAGGTCTAGAATCCATTTTGAGTTAATTTTTGTATATGATATAAGGTAGGGATCCTATACTATGCTTTTCCATGTTGATACTGATTTTCTCCAGAACCATTAGTTGAAAACACTATTCTTTCCCCTACTGAGTAGCCCTGGCATGCATGTCAATTATCAATTGACCATAAACATAATGGCTTACTTCTGGACTCAATTATATTCCATTGATCTGTATGTTTATATGTATTCCAGTACCACTACCACAATATCTTGATTTGTATACTGTAGTTTTGTAGTAAATTTCAAAACAGAGATAAGAGTCCTATGGCTTTGTTCTTGTTATTCAAGTTGTCATTAGTCTGCATTTTCATAGTTATTTAAGATTTAATTTGTCAATTTTAATTTAAAAGTGTGTTTTAGGGATCACATTGAATCTGTGGATTAATCTGAGAAGTGTTTCCATATTAACAATATTGAGTGTTCTCTTAAGTAATTTATGACTATAAAATACCTTACCATTTATTTAGGTCTTCTTTAATTGCTGTCAACTGTTTTCTTGTTTCTGGGCACAAATCTTGCACTTTTTGGAGTCTCAGTCTAGGTCACTATAACAGAGTATCATCGACTTAAACAATGGTAATGTATTTCTTACATTTCTAGAGACTGGGAAGTCTGAGATCACAATATCATCATAGTTGATTCTAGTGAGGCCCCTCTTTCTGGTTTGTAGAAGTCCATTTCTCATCGTAACCTCACACAGTGAAGAACAGAGTGAGAGATCCTGTGTCTTCTCTTTTTATAAAGGCATTAATCCCATTTATGAGAGCTCGGTTCTCATAACTTAATTACCTCCCAAAGGCCTTACCTCTTAAATCATCTTATTGGGAATTTAGGGCTCAAAATATGAATTTTGGGGGATACATATATTATTGTAATGTCATTGTTTTATTAATTTCACTTATGTGTCATTTATTAGTGGTATGTAGACAAAGAGTGGATTTCTGTATATTAATCTTGAATTCTACAACTTCACTGAATTCATTTATTTTCTAGTTGTGTGTGTGTGTGTGTGTGTGTGTGTGTGTGTTCCTTAGGATTTTCTATATACAAGACAGCATTTTCAAATAGAGATAAATTCATGTTCTTTATCATCATAAGTACCTTTTATTTTTTTTTCTTGCTTAATTACACTTTCTAGGTCCTGTAGTATGTTAAACAGAAGTAAATAAAAACAGAAATCCTTGGGTTTTTCCTAATCTCAGAGGGAAAGCTTTCAGTGTTTCACCATCAAATGCAATGCTAGCTGCTAAATTTTGTAAATATGCTTTGTCAGTTGGAAGAAGTTCATTTCTATTGCTTGTTAAGTGTTGTTTTTTTTTACGTCATGAGAGGGGTATGAAATTTTATCAAATGTTTTTTCTCTTCCAATCAACATGACAATGCAATTTCGTTCTTTTTTCTTTTTAATATTATGTATCATGTATTGAATTGACTTTTATATGTTAAACTTTGCATTTCTGGGATAAATCCTACTTAGTCATGATGTGTAATGCTTTTTTATGTTGCTAAACTTTCATATTTATATTCAAAATGAATATTGGTCTTTAGTTTTCATTTCTTATATATATTTTCCTGGTAATGCCATCAGAGCCTCAAACAATGAATTGGGAAGTGCTCTCTTCTCTACTATTTTTTGGAAGAATCTGTGAAGGATTGGTATCAATCTTTATCATCCTCTTTCTTCTATCTCATTTGTGTCTCTGAATCTAAAGTATATCTCTGTCTTTTTTACAGTGCATGCAGTTGGACCATGTTTTTTTTTTTAAATTCTATTCTGACAGTTTCTGGTTTGGATTGAATTATTTCATCAATATGTGATTATTCAGTAATTGTTGTAATTACTGAATCAGTAGGATTTATATCTGACATTTTTGTACCTGTTTTACATATATCCTATTTATTTTGTGTTCCCATTTCTCCATTACTGCCTCCTTTTGCATTAAAATGAGATTCTCTAGCATAGCATTTTAATTTTTTTTATTACTATATTTATGAGTTATTTTGCCGCTGGCTGCCTGTGGGACTACAATAAACATTTTAACATAAAGCACCTTGTCTACTTAATTTTTGTAATATGCAAAAGAATAATCCATCCAATGTAGATGTTTCTAGAGCCTCTTTTGTGCTATTATTGTCACATAAGATTTTGAAACTCTCCTTTGCTGGTTCTCTGTTCTGGGATTTCCCCTTTAATTTTTAGCTGGTCAGATAGCCCTGAACTCTGTTCATTTACTCCTCAAACAGGTAAGGATGAGGCTTTCTTTCTGAGCTCTATTTGAAATGCCACCACAAGAACTGGAGAGTGCTCTAAGGGATGTTGTGTAAATGTGTATCTTGGTACTCAGTCATAGTTGCTTCCTTCTTTCAAAGGTCATTATTATTCTTTAATAATTTTTGTTTGTTTGTCTTACCTTCTCAAGAGGGAGTCATTGTCTTTGGCAGAAGTGTTATTTCCATTATTATTATTTTTTATAGCCAGAATCCTATAGAGAAGCTTTAAAATCATTTAATATATACTCAGACTTACTCCATGCTCACCAAGCAACAATGAGAATGTCACTGCCATTAACATTTTAACATAAAACACTCTATTTAATTTCAATAACATGGAAAAAAATATGCTACATTATGTCTCTTTTCCTAACCCCTTCCCCTCCTTTGTGCTATTATTGTCATACAAGATTTTGAAGCTCTCTCTTTTTGGGAAGGAGATACTTAGATAACAGAGAAAATATTGCTAATTAGGCTTGAAGATAACTAATTAATGTCAGCCTGCCAAGTTTATCTATCATGACAAAGTAATAAGTGGTACTGTAATTTTAGATAAAATTCTCAGGTACATTGATCTAAGCATGGTTCAACATTTTCTAGTTTGATCAACTGTGAGACACTAGCTGAAGTTTGCAAGTTTGTTCACCATTATTTAGACTTTGATGAATTATCTGAAGTAATGTCATATTACAGTAATTTCTGAGAAACTCATGGTGACCTTCTGTGGTGACAGCCTATGATTAACATATAGTCTGTTTTGAATTTAAAATTCCTACCAGGCAATCTTCTGTACCTTCACACAAACTCTCAAGCTTGTGCTTGTTATTATGAATTCAGTCTTGATATACTTAAGCCCGTACCAAATCCAGATCAGCGGAGAATAATTGGTAGCCATAGAAATGGCCCTTAGTTTTCTATTGTTACTTTATGAGAGACTTTTCTGGTATTGTTGGAAGTAATCTTTCCACTCTCACACAATTAGTTTCTGGCCTCACTTTTCATTCCATTTAGAAACTAGTGGCTTGTAGGAGTAAGGTGCCCATGATGCCTACTCCCCAAAATGTAGCTTGGGTCAATGAACTAAACACTGGATGCAAATCAAGGAACATAGAGTTCAAGTCTTGGTTCAGTCTACTTAATAATACATGACTCCTTGGTCTCTTGTTTCTTCTGTAAAATATAAGAAGGTTGAATTTGATTCTATTGACTTTTCTGTCCATTTTAATACTCAGTATTTTCCTCAGTACTCATTACCAATCCAATCAAATAATTTGCAAGTTTGCCTAAGTTTTCTGATGTTTCCTTGAATGGAATTCCTTTCTTCACTGTTATATGAATAGATATATACCTTCAGTAAAATGCAAGGCTTTGACTTTTTCTGCAAATTGCAAGATAAAAATAAATATGAGGAATAGCATTGTGAGATGCTGGGACACACTTTTACTTTTTCATGCTTAGAAAGAGTCATTATCATACAGAATTATTATAGTTGTAATATTATTTATATGGGCCAGCCACAGTGACTCATGCCTGTAATGCCAGCACTTTGAGAGGTTGAGGTGGGTGGATCTCTTTAGTCTAGAGTTCGAGATCAGCCTGGGCAACATGGAGAAACAAAAAATACAAAAACTAGCTGGACAAGGTGGCACACAACTGTAGTTCCAGCTACTGGACGGGGTGGCTGAGGCAGGAGGATTGCTTGAGCCTGTGAGGCAGAGGTTGCAGTGAGCCAAGATCGCACCCTTGCACTCTAGCCTGGGTGACAGAGTGAGGTCTTGTTTCATATAAAATAAAATTTTACATATATATATATATATGCATAAGATGTGTGTGTGTGTGTATATATAGTGTGTGTATATATATGACATATGATATGTCACACTCCTTTGTTTAAATCAAATTACATCTCCTCCAAACTTGATTCACTCCTCCACAACCACATCAGAGTATCTCAGATTTTTGTGTTCTAAAAATCTAGAGGAAGAGCCAGATCCCAGTCTAAATGTTTCTCGTGACAATCTTCTGTTTTATGGGCAGCTTCAGAGCTTCCCTTCTAGGACTCTGTTTATCTGAGCCTGATTTAGCTCTCCATGAAAATTTCCCCACCAAGAGATCTCATCATAAAATACTGCTGACCAGCATTTCTTCCCTAAACTTCTCTCTAGCGTCAGGGTACGTTAAACTCACCCTCAGCTCCAGCAACGTTTACTTTACTTACTCAAAGTATCTCCCGCTATTTCTTCCTTCTACCACATACTTAAAGCGAGAATTTAAAATAATTCTCCTCAATGGAATTTTGGGAAAAGTAAATGCTGACCTCTAACTCTTGTGACAGGGTACTTTTCCCTAAATAATTTATCATGTTACACTTGAAAATAATTATATTCTTCTTTTTAAAATTTGGACAGGGCGGGAGTAGAAATTTAATTTTAAGCTCTCTCATCTACATTTGAAGGGCATATACCGTATACTCTAAATCAACTCTTATGAATAAATCTCTACTGTCTCAGCAGTTTGCCTCTCTACCATATACTGTGCTAATTAACCTGCCATATTATATGTGATGTTGCATTATTTGCCCAATTGGCAGAACTTCTTTTTGCCTGGAGATTGATTATTCATAATACTCTAGAATCTAGCCTACCTCTTGGCCCAGTGGAATTATTCATTAATATTTGTTGAAGAACTTTTTCACTACCAATGCAGTCATTCAGTTCATTAATTAATGGAAGAGGATTATGGAGGAAGTAGCAGCAGGAGAGCTTTTTAAGAAGACTAATCTGCTTCTCTTTCCAGTGATTTTCAGGCCTTCATCTTAATCTCCACTTCATAACCCAATATCTCAGAATTTTCTTCTCCAAACTACGGGATGCAAGAGGGGAGAAGACAGCAGCTCCTCATTTCCTCAGCAATAGGAGAAGAGAGCTCTAAGGGTATAAAAAGAAGAAAATTCTTCACTGAAAATATGATAAGATTAGTACACAACATTATTTCACAGGGTACCCATGAGTTGTCTTGAGACTAACCAGGATTTTCTATAATACATTTTATTTATTTTTAATAAATGTTACATTCCCCTGCAGAACAGAATGCAATTATATTTTAGTGTTTACTATTTTTTTTGTATCAGTGAAACCATGGCTCTGGGACATTTTAGATTAGAAGTAGAAATGATAATTAACATTTTCTAAATTATGGTTATCCTCAACATGGCATGATTGTCAAACACTGTGATAGAGGGTAGTATGTAATGTGCAGATGGATAGAAACTAGTCAAAATTAATAATCTCTGCAAGATGACAGTTTAATGTAATACTCTGTAATAGCAAAGTTCAATACATACATAAAGGATAGTTAGGCATATACAAGAAGTATCAAGACATTTGATTTAAGAAGTATCAAAAGTCTAGACATTTGTAGTTGTAAGGCAGGTGAACTGCAGAGATAGACCAGCAGATTTTCCTTTTAAAATGTTAGCCAACTTTTGTGCTTTCATTTTAAATCTAGATTTCATAGAGGTTTATACCAGATGTTAAGCATGACGAAAACTCACTACCCTCCTGCTTGTTATTATAAATGGAATAATGCACTAAGGTATTTTGTAGATATAATTATTCTTATAAGGCTGTAATAATATCGGTCCAAATTATGTGCAGTACATAAAAATGACTGCTGTTTAACTTGCATTAATTATTTGCATTCACTTCAATTTGTCACATATAAATTTATCACATGGAGATAAATAAGAAATCAATACATAATGACCTAGAGTAGTTACTTTTCAATCTCACTTTTTCATAATAGGTAAGTTCATTGGAATGTCTACCTAGAAAAACCAAGAACAGGCTTGGGATAGCTGTCTTCTTCTCTATTTCATCATCTTCTCTATTTCAATCGTTTGTCCCTTTAACCTTGGGTTGGCATGCCGCTGCTATTTTTCATTTTGTGTCAAACTCTTCTGTTCCTGGGAGGTGAATCACTTTGGGTAACTGAACTCTTAAAGAACTGAACTGCTCCTGTCTTCATCAGTTTATCAGATACTGGTGCTGACAATTAGCAGTAACAAATACAATTATATGCTCATTTAACAAATTGTTAATCCTTCGTATTTAAAATTAGATTTTCAAGCTTCTTTTTCTTTTTTTTTTTCTGCTTCTGTTCTTTCGAACAATCATCTGTGTGTAAGACTCAATGTATATGATTTGTGTGTGTGTATGTTTGCATGTGTGTGTGCGTCTGTGTAAATCAGAGCACAAGGTGGAAATGCATTATTTACTTAGATTTATTCCTTGGAATGATCCTAGCACGTCTCTTAAATGTGTAGGAAAAGTCACTACAGGTAAACTTTAATGTGATAAACCATGGGCACTCATCAATAATGTATTCTTTCCTTTACTTTTTAAGGACTCGGCTATTTCCTTCCCACTGTACAAGCTCAAAATTTGTTTGTTGAGTTGAAAACATACCCTGGAAACAGAATAGCACAATTTTTAGAAGCATCTAAGTACATTTTATTTTATCTAACTTTATTAACAGATGTTTTGATAGGTTAATTAACTAGTTGCTTCTGAAAACTAGCAGCTTAAAAGTTGAGAAATCAGATTGTTTATTTGGGCTGATAACTAACAGATTTTCTGGAAACTACTCTCAGGCAGCTTCTGAGAGCCTTTCTTCAAAGCCTTGATAGAAGGCAGCTGGCCTTTGAAAATGCACTATCTGAAGTATGCTGAAAACTCACAGGCACCTGTAGGCACAGATGATCCTTCTGTAATGTGAATTACTGGGGACAGACATTGTTGCATTTTTTAGTTCTGAGATTTACAAAAAAGGAAGGTCCCTTTGACCAGGAGCACACAAGGTCAGTATCTCCTTCAAGTCCCATATTTTAGGGACTATGCCACTGGTGTGAAAGTATTTAGGTGGGGAAAGTGCTTCTAAAAAGAGGAAGAGGTTTTGATAGCCTAACAGCCTTAGCTTTTGCTCTGTATATGTTTTTGTGTGATAGATTCTCACTAAAAAAATTACCATATTACTTAAAATTGCTGTATTTTATTCAGAGTTCACATATCTGTGATTTTTTATCTAACAGAACTCAGAGCTAGATGCTTGGGGAAATGTCTTCAGCAAATTCATACGAATAAGAAAAACTGGGTTTTGACATATTTACTGACAGAATATAAAAAAGGACCTGAAGGAGGCAACAATTTTGACAGATTTTGATGGGGGGTTGAGGGGGTCAAAATTTTGAAAGTTTTGTGAAAGTCAAATTTTTCCCTCCTCATCATTACCGTAGCCACTGAGCTAGTATTAAATAACAGTGGGGTGTAATCCATGATACTGGTATATTTCAGGGCAATAGTAGAATGTATTTAAAAAACAAGGTTCCCATGCTGAGAGTATATAAAAAGCACAGACAAACAAAGTTTCAAACATGCATCGTAATGTAAAACTGTTTTCATGAATATTTGATGTATTTATTTTTAAAGAAAATAATGGCACTTGATTGTTGAAAATATTAAAGCAATAAAATTTCAAGACATATACTTCCCACCTCCCAGTCAGCTAAATAAATAAATGTTCATTTGTACATGTAATATTCCAGGTTTTGTTCTTAACCATATTAATATATTTCAGACAATATGATAGATTGGATCTTGTATTGCATTTTCACTGGATAAAATATTATTTGCTACAATGTTGTCACCTTTTTTGGTCTGCTACATTTTATCTTTTTCACTCCCAATCTCAGCTTTTAAATTAATAGGTATTAAGAGTCAAGTATAATGTCACCCTCTACAACTTATGTCATAAATATACAATTCTAATCATGTGTATGCACAGATATATTTGTATCAAGTTACTTATAAAGTCTATTTTACTATTTAGGTTCCCAGCAACTCCCTTTTCATGTTTCACTATAAACTATTGACAGAGACAGGAGACAACCAAATGCTGCCCAGGTGATTGTGCACAGGAGGCTTGCCTAAACATGCCCATGGTGAAAAATTCTGTAGTTTAACACATGAGATTAAGGGAGATAAAGCAATGTGGAGTGGCTCAAACTAAGGACCCGCCTGCTCACTGGGATAATGGGGTGGAACCACCGGAAATTTGTGCCTTTTGCAGCGGGGAGGAGCCTGGCCTCTTCAGCTCATGTGTGGCAGCCTGGTATTCAATCTTGAAGTGGGAGCCTGTTGGCAGGACCCCCTCTTTTTTTGCCGAGAGCTTTCTTTTAATAAATTCCGCTTTCCTCACCTTTCAACATGTCCACATGATTACTTTTTCCTGTTCATGAGACAAGAACCCATATTTTAGCTGAGCTAAGGAGCAAAAACATCCTGCATCATAATGAATATCCTTCTGGAGCAAAAGACAAAAGGAAATTCTCTTTATTAGATGTATCCTATTCCACGGTATATGTGTAATAAAATTTATTGAGATGGTTATTAAAGTCAATTATTATTATTCTTTCATTGCCACTGCAAAACTAATACATATTGCCTTACATACTGATGCTTTTAATTCTATAGGATAGATTTTTGAAGGGTAGGATTGCTATAAGTACATAATAATACATTTTCATACCACATTCCCCAAACTATATACAGTCATCAATCTCCTAGAAGAATATATTAATTCTGACTCACTCACATTCTTGCCAGACTTTGATGTGGTTATGTATAAATTTCATTCTCAAATGTGAAAATACATCTTCTTATTCATCCTTATTCAGTGTCAATATATGTCCAGTTAAGAAAAATCATTAGTAAGCATAAAAATATTGTTTGGTATTAGTTACATTAAACTATATAAGCTTGATTTAAAAATTTATTTGCTTCCTGTAGAAAACTTTACAGTATCTTTTGAAAAAGAAATGTACAAATGTACAAAAAGAAATATACAAAGGTAAAGCTAAGGATAAACAGTTTTACTATGAAATACTGAGGCTGATTCATAAAACATATCATTTATGCTTATTGCAATAATGCCCATTTTTTCCTTGAAAACTGTTCTAAGAAATTATTAGTACCAGAAATATTTTCAGATTAATACTTCTGTTAATTTGATCATTTCAAGCTTTTCATTAGTCCTCATATAAACATCTTCACATCACTTTAATTATTCTAAAAATTACTTATAAATGCTTTTACTACATTATTCTTATAGCAAGAGACTCCTAAATGGAGTGATTAAACTCTATGTGGAGGATCATACCAAAAAGAGTTTCTCTAGTGTTTAGACTGCATTTTCCATTCCTCACCATGCTAGTCTCATTATAAATGCACATAATTCATCAACTTTATTAATAGCAACATTTAGACTTAATATGATTTGGTGCAGACAATGCTTGGTGTTCACACAACATCTTTTGGGGCATAGAGAATACATTCCCAATCCTCTCTTGCAATAATATCTGGAGCAAGTGAAGTAATAGTGTGTTGACGACTGGAAGGTGGACAGAAGCTGTGAAACTAAGGCAAGCAACTTCTAGGCTTGGCTACTTAAACACTTCACAACAATCCAACTTCCTTTCTCTTCTGTGGCTACCTTGAAGCCCTGTATTCCAGATGGCATAGGTATAAGAAGGAAGGGCACTCTGAGGTATGTGGGGGTCAGGTGTATGTGAGAGATACATTTTTAGTGTGTTAATCTTTTAAGAATTGGGGTTTTATACATTATTTTAGTACAGTCTATCTATCTATTTTGACTAAGACATATGGTTTGGAATATCTTTGACGGTCTGACTTATTTTTGTCTCAAAACTCATGTCTTTAACTTCTCAGGCTACATCACCAGGACTTGAAGGACAGCAGCACATCTTTGGTGAGTACCTACTGTGAGGTAATCACTACCTCACACTTTGCTTCTCATGATAAGTTGCTGTCATGTATTACTACTTATAATGTTTTAAATATCCATTTTTGTTTTATTTTTTTCTACACTGGTCTCTATCTAGAACATTCATATTGTCTTTCACTTCTTCTATACCTTTTATTCTTTTGCTGCTATTACTTTTATTTATCATATACTGGGATGGGGTTGGGATAAAATAATAACCAAACCTAATAAAACAATAATAACCAAACATAATAAAAATAAAATAAAACTGTTTTCCTGAGAATCTTACTGTAACACTATAGAATAAGTTCAGTACCTGTTTGGGGGCATTATGAAAAGCTCCATAGTAGTACTCTTTACATCTCATTTAATTATCTGGGTTTCCATGAGGGCAGTGACCAGGTCAATCTTGTATATGCCTGTGGAAAATACTTGGCAAAAAATAGACTTTCCATAAAAATGAGTTGATTCATAAATTAGTTTTTATTTGCAAAGATATGAAACCTCAGCATGTAGTTGTTTTTGAATAGTTTGCTTCTGTAAAATGATTCCATTGATATATCACTTCACAGAGAACAGTAGTAAGAAATAAACTGATGAACTGGAAACTATTTCTTTCTTTATAAACTGTCAGAGTTATGCTTTTATATTTCTCTTTAATACCTAAAATTATGTTTACAGTGGTAGATTAATGTTTACTAACTGTAATAATTTTTCAAGAAATATTTTATTCAAAAATCTGAAAATTCATTTTATACTCATAAATTCTGTCTCCACAATTTAAAATAACTAATTGGAAAGTACTGAGTGAATAATTAATTTAACTTTTCTATACAGTGTCAAAAAAGTTCTGATCTTCTTCATAATGCATGCTCTACATAAACCGCATGTGTATTAAAATTTGGTAAAAATTTGTTTTTCTGAAAAAAAATTTGTCAAGGATATCTATAAAATGTTGTTTGATTAAAGGGAAAACCTCTAAATTCTTATAATCAGCACCCCTGTAGAAAATAAGGACAAAGGAAAACACACACAATACACACAACACATGGCCACACAAATACTGTCATCTACCACTTAATGGTTTATAATATCCTTCAGCAGGATTCCAGAGGCTAGAGGACTAGCTCAGAATAATTAGGGCTTCAAAGTCCTTATCTAGGTTTTTCAGACCATTCAGAGTAGATGTCCTTGTCAGATAATTCTGTCTATGACAAACTAGTCAGAGACTGGAAAAGGGCTGCCTTTAACAACAACAACAACGAAAAAGCCAACTATGTATAGTACAGCTAAATGCAAAAGCAAACAACGCTTTTCAAAGTGTGTATCTGTCACAAAACGTCTTTTCTGAGACTTCTCCTAAATGCTAAGAACACAGTTGCCCTTTCACCTGACTGCTGTGCCCTGCCTGACAATTTATTGGACTACTAGCTTCATAAGGATGCTAACTGGGCACTTGCTCTGTTATTTGGATTCATTAAGAACAAGTGACACTTGAGTCTACAATTGACTTACTTCTTAGACTTCAATAGTTTATTTTTTTCACATGAATATATTATAGTTTATTCAACATGTTTTCATTGACAGAAAATGTGAGGTAAAAGACCACTAAAGGCACTACCTTATTTACTGTATTCATCAAGTTTATCTCTAGGGCAAATTATTTTACCTCCTGAGGGCACACATCTGACAACAGGCAGCACCATGTTTATGTTCCGATTTGCTAGAAACACACTGATGTTTGAGTTGCCACAAAAGGCATTTCCACAGTCGCCGCACTAGTAGGGTTTTCATTCTGCATGAGTTCACTTGTAAGGAAGGAGCTGTGACTCTCCATTACAGGAATTTTCAACTTGACTGATTCTACCCCTTTCTCTTGTGTGCATCTTCTTATATTTGACAAGGTTTGATGAGTGGAAGAAGCCTTTCTCACAATCACTGCATCCATAGGGCCTCTCTCCTGTATGCGTTCTTTGATGTACATTGAGTACTGACTTTGTGGTGAAGGCTTTTCCACATTCATTGCACTCATAAGGTTTCTCTCCTGTGTGAATTCTCTGATGGGTAATGAGACTATATTTGTGTGAATAGGATTTTCCACACTCAGTACATACAAAGGGATTCTTTCCTGTATGACATCTCTCACATTGTATGAGCCATATTTTCTGGCTGAAGGCTTTACCACGTCATTGCATTCATAAGGTTTTTCTCCTGTGTGAGTTCGGTGATGTATAATAAGAGTGCACTTTGTGGTGAAACCTTTACCACATTAATTGCATATGTAAGATTTCTCTCCTGTATGAGTTCACTGATGTATAATGCGAGTGCGTTTGACAGTGAAGGCTTTTCCACATTAGCTGCATATATAAGATTTTTCTCCTGTACGGGAGCACTGATGTACAATGAGATTGCTCTTCACAGTAAAGCCTTTTCCACATTCACTGCATATATGGGGTCTCTCTCCAGTATGAGTTTGCTGATGTACAACAAGGTAGCGCTTCTGGGTGAAGCCTTTTCTACATTCACTGAATATATAGGGTTTCTCCCCCTGTATGAATTCACTGATGTACAATGAGATTGATCTTCACAGTGAAACCTTTTCCACATTCATTGCACACATAAGGTTTCTCTCCACTACAAGTTCGCTGATGAGCAATTAGATAGCGCTTCATTGTAAAGCCCTTTCCACACTCACAGTACATATAGGATTTCTCTTCTGTATAAGTTTGTTGATGTGCAATGAGAATACTCTTCACAGTAGAGCCTGTTCTATATTGATTGGGTATACAGATTTTGTCCCCTATATTAGTTTTCAGATGCTTAGTGAACAGGACACTTCTGGACAATTTCTCACATTGACCACCTCCAGGATTCTCTTCTATGTGAATGTTCTCGTGGTAAATGAGCTGAGACTTCAGAGGAAGGTTTGCTCACATTCAATGAATGCATGGAGTTTCTCAATTTTCTGAGTCCTCTGATGCTTAAAGACTTGGAATTTAGTATGGATCCATTTGCATTTTCAGAAAATCTAGTTTTAGTATTCGTATGTTCATGCTTATCATGTAGAAGGGTTTTCTCACCTCCAATAAACTCCACAAGGTTATTTATTCCATGTCTTCTCTTCTGGTTGATTAAACTTAAAATTGATTTCAATGTTTTTCTGTACAAGTCAAATGTATTATGATTTTGCACTAGAGAAAAATGTGTCTTGCTGAGATGTACAATATTTCTAAATGCATTCTGTCCACTGCATTGCTGCATGCTCTTCAGAAATCACTGGTTTGGAGAGTGCTCTTGCAGATGACTGTCAACTTTCCTGATTCCTGGACAATTTTTATTCTGGACTTTAGCATCTGTTTTCAATGGTTCCCATCCATGCGCCAACTTGGAGAGTGCATCTGGTTTGCTAGTTTGATACCCCAGTGATACCAGGTGGTTAGAGTTCTCCACCATCACATCCTGGTACAGGTCCTTCTGAGCAGTGTTCCAGGAGCTGCCACTCCTCCCGGCTGAATTCAACAGCCACATCCTCCAGGGTCAGTGATTCTGGGTCTTGATCATTTTCTTTTGTGGTCAGAAAATAGTGGATAACATAGACTATACATCTTTGTCTCTTCTGCATTTTCCATGAACTTTTCCTAGTCAGAAATATTAGTGTCCACGTAAAGTTGTCCCCAGAAAATGATGATATCCAAGGCCAGCAACCTCCTTCTTCTTCCGTCATTGCTTCACTTGAGTTATCTTGCTTTTGGGAGCCAGGACCTGAGGGCTGCACCCGAATCTCTCCAGACACTACTGGCAGTGACAAAACATGGCATCCATGTCCGAAACCGCTTCCTATTCAGATGCACTCCTGCGCGGCCTACGGGACGCTGAGCGGTGACGATGATGGAGTGAGGCGTGGACCACAGAGCTAGTCCGGGATCGCGAGTTCGACTGCGGGCGCCGCTCTGCGAGGTCACACGGCTGCGCCCATTGCAGAGTACCGGACAGGAGCGGCTATAATGGCTGTGGAAATCACTCTTGGCCACCTCAGTGCCTTTCTCTCTTTGTTGCCAGGGACACTCAACAGCGCTGGGCTAACCATGTAAGCTTTAAGGGTCGGGTGCCCAGCTAAGGCCAACACAGCGCAGTGGCATTCTATTCAGCCGGTTGGGGGAAAAAAGATGGCGGTGCCAGTTGTTCCGATAGTATTAAAGCACATAATTTAATTCGTATCTGGGTGACCCACAGCCACCTATACTGTCAGTGACTTATATGCAACTGAAACGTATCTGCAGTTTTATATATTGGTATGCTTAAAAATATATGTTGTTTTGCTTAAAAACAAGATAGTTCTTGTTAGAGTTATTGCACTTGAGTTGTTATCAATACCCTATAAAATTTGTGATATAAAACATAGGCACTTAGATATTGCTTTAGAAATAGAGTTTTGTATCACTGAGAACACATTTTGGAAACTTTGCTATGAGACTCTTTCAAGTAAATATCCATATATTGAAGATTCCTTAATTTGACTTAGTGTGACAAAAAGCAATGGCAATATAATATTCTAAAATGACTTTGGAATCAAGAAAAATTGAAGTTGAGGTAGAGTAATACCTCACAAAATAATCAAAAGAGAAATAAAAATATAGGATAACAGATAGTATCTGGAAGAAGATGCCATCAAATAAATCATCTGTGCTGTAATATTACAAATGTACTAGGTAATAACATATAAAAACATACTACTTTTTTTTTTGGCTAAGGAGTAGGATTTTAACTGAAGTGCAGGAAATGAAAAAAAAAAACTGATAAAAGTCTTGAAAGATGATTGCCATAGAAAAGTAAGTATGGTTTTCTTGAACGTTACCAAATAAGAAGGGTATTATCAGTATGCTGTTGTAACATGATATCCAGACTGCCTGCAAGACTCAGCCTTGTGCAAGAGAGCATACGATCAGAAATAGGAGACAGCTGGTGGAATATTGAACCAGAAAGTGATGCCAAGACTGAAGCATTAGTAATACATTGCTGAAATCTGAGACTTTGAAATAATCAAGTAAAGGAGATTAAAACAAAGGGGTGTTAGCACAGAAAGAGAAGAAATTGAAGAGTGAAATAAAGAGTTGGAGGAAATGTGAGAGAGTAGTTATCCACAGGTATAGCTGTTGAAATATTGGGGTTGCTTGCAGGTGTGTTTATTTATTTATTTATTTATTTATTTTTATTTATTTATTTTTTTTTTGATATGGAGTTTTTGCTCTTGTTGCCCAGGCTGGAGTACAATGGCACGATCCCAGCTCGCTGCAACCTCCATCTCCTGGGTTCAAGCCATTCGCCTGCCTCAGCCTCCCAAGTAGCTGGGAGTACAGGCATGCGCCACCATGCTTGGCTAATTTTTGTATTTTTTTTAGTAGAGACGGGGTTTCACCATGTTGGTCAGGCTGGTCTTGAACTCCTGACCTCAGGTGATCCGCCCGTCTCGGCCTCCCAAAGTGCTGGGATTACAGGTGTGAGCCACCGTGCCCAGCTGCAGGTGTGTTTCTAAAGGACCAATTTTAATGAAAAAGAGGTTATTAACTCTGATATGGATTAAATCAACGAATCAGTAAGACTTATTTTTCTCATTGTAAAGCAGAGGTTGTATTACATACCTTACTGAGTTTTGTGAAAATTAGAATTTATTTATAGCTCCTCAATATTGATAGCTATTGTTAAGTGTATGACTTCATTGATCAAAATATTCACCAAAAATATTCATAAATATCTACCATCCATCAGATACTCCATTAGTGCTAGGGGTTTGAAGATAAATAAAATGAAGGCCTACCTCTCACAGGGTCCTAGTCCAGCAGGGAGAGACAGATAAAAAGGGTGAATTGAAGAAATAATAATATGCAACAAAATACTATTACATAGGGTCAATACTAGAAGTCCGTATTTGGTGCTATAAAGGTACAAAACAGGAAGTAGTCAACTTTACATTGGGCAATAGAGCTTTGAAATTAACCTTCAATGCAGTCTTACAAAGTTAATTGTAATGGAGAGGGGCTCTTTACAGTAGGCTGTGTGCAAAAAAACCTATAAGCTTAGAGGCATGCAATGGCCTCATAAATTTGGGAACTATAATCAGCATGATGAAGACGAAGAATGGATGTGACTGAGTAAAGCAAAAGATAAGAAAGTAATGTAGAGCTAGGGGTCATATTATTCAGGTTTTTGTGTGATGTATTAAATAGGGCTGCATTTAAAACTAACCATGGTTAGCAGTATGCACTAAGTGAGGATAGAGAAGTAGATATGAATATACAGCAACTCCACTTTCCTAAGACTGCAAGAGTTGCTTTATTCCCCTCATTAGGGCACTTCCATCTAAATCACACAGAATTTGTTGTGGCAGAAGTGACATTATGTGACATTTGCTGTCCCTCCGGATAGGTTTAACTAAATTCACACATATCCTCTGACTTTGTATCACATGCACCATGAGGGCTTCCTTAAAATGATTCAATTAACCATGAACCTACGTTTCCTGGGCAAAGATAGCTTTCAAAGGGACACATCAATGTAATTAACCACTATAAACCTAACTTTAAACATCTAGGTAGTAAATATATAATGCTTGACTATAGCAATATGCTTTGGCCCTATTTGGACATTTTCTTAAGAGTTAAGGATGTAGATAAAACTCAAAAGATAAAACTTGAAAATAAAGTGAGATCCAAAACTGAGAGTGAAAATTTGCTGAAAAATTATAGGATATATAAACTATGGAAATCATTTAGATACATTTTTAAACTGGAAATATAAGACATTTCTATGAGTAGGTATTTTGTTAATCTTAAAAGGATTCTAATTACTCATCTCTTCAAAACTTATTCATTATGCACCTATCACTAAGTGCCAGATGTTGAGTGATGCTGATTTGACAAAACATGAGCCTGCTCTTGCCTTGGACCCTCTACTTAAAATGCACTTGTTTCACGTAGCTACATTTGTAAATCTCTTCAGATCTCTCTCTTAGGTCACCTTCTCAGAGAGACTTTTCCTGACTGCTTACAGTAACAATGACCACTGTATATACTCAGCCCCATCACTCTTCATTCCTCTTACCCTGCTTTGTTTTCCTTCATAGTAATCATCTGGCATTCTATATATTTTCTCGTTTGTTTTTATTATGTCTTTCCTCCCTGGAATTCACAGTGTGGATGTTGTTTTCACACTGTTCTTTCTTTCCTTTCATATAGCTAAAAGGAAGACATTGGCTCTCTCCTTTCTGAGACTAGTCATTTCCTCTGGATCTTGGATCCCATTTTCTTTCAGACTGAGGTCCCTCCCAAGAACAGGTGGTCAAGTGGCAAAAGGAGAGGCAAGGAATTAAAGTAACTAAAGAGTGATTAAATATGTTGAGTCTAAAAAAAGATTAGGATCCACACAGTTATAATGGAGGGAGAATCAGATATAAATAATTGAAGTAAAATATTTTTGTGAGCTCTCCATGAATTAAAGTATAAGCGGAAATGTGACACTTTCTTACATTCTCATTGTAATTTTCTTATTTTGTCTAAAAGATAAAATGTTTTTGTTTTTATTTTAAATAATGCTTTTCTTTACCATGTTGCTATCATGGAAGTGTGAGATGAAACTCTACCTACTCCAGACTGAACTTTCAGAGCATGTTCTTTTTTTTTTTTTTTTTTTGAGATGGAGTCTCTGTCACCCAGGCTGGAGTGCAGTGGCATGACCTTGACCCACTGCAGCCTCTGCCCCACCGGGTTCAAGCAATTCTCCTGCCTCAGCCTCCGTCTTTTTCTATTACTAATTAAATCAACACTCAATTCCCTTATTGTTTCTGAAGATTTCAAGAGAAGCCTGATATGGGGCACAAAAGTGCAAGACATTTGGTTAGTGACTCCTAGATGATCGTTGTATTAGTTAGAAATAAAACAACTGATATGGAGGGTGGGCATGCTGGTGTTAACTGAGTTATCTCATGAGTGTCCTCAGCCAACTTCAACACATCTCAAGATACATTTGATCATGAGATGTGTTGGGAAATCATCCTTAATGCTTTATGTATAATGTGTTGATGCCTTAAAGTATAAGGAGAATGGGGGAAATGTCAATTGGATTTGAAAAAAAACCAGGTTCCTGGACACCATTACTGCTTTAAGAGTTTTGTACTTAGCAAGCCTATGTCCTCTGTTCTGTTTTGTCACATCAATATATCAAGGAGTTATGTTGAATTCCAATGGAGCAACTACTGGAGTTGGCTCACTACTTTTGCAAGTAGACTATTACATTATTATCAGTCTAACTAGCTGCCTGGCCATGGAAGGTCCTACAAATATTCCCTGCAGGAGAAGGGTTGGATATAGTTTTCACCTCTGAAGATGAACCTAGACTTACCTCTCTGTCAATGTAGTAGACAATTTTTTAATCTCTGTAGGAGCAATTATCTTTCTTCCTTCTAATTTCTGTTAAAGGTGGGTTATTTTCCTTTACAACTAAATGGAACAAAATATTTCTGGAATACTGAAATCCTCTGCCAGATCAGTTCTGCCTTTTCTGTTCCTTGTTGGAAAAAAATGCATCTTCTCTTCAGTAGACAGCTTTCCTCCTCTAATTTCTCTCATAGGTAAGAACAAACTTTAGGATATTTTATATTGTTACCTTTTACTTCCCTTTTTTTACTTAATGGAAATCTCATTTGACTCAACCTCACATACTGCTTTATCCCACTAAAAGGATATTGAGCATTTAACACATAATGTTGGCATCACTGAGCTCCTTAGGGCTCTATATGGTAGATTTCAGTTATTTATTGCTGTACAACAACTGTCCCAAACTTACTGCTATAAACAATAATAATCATTAAATTGCTAAGAAATATGCAGTTCAGGCAGAGCTCAGTGAATGCATCATACCTCCTGCTCAAAATAGTGTCATAAGAGGTAGTTTGGAGATTGGAGGTTGGAGTTGATCTCAAGCCTTGCTCAGGTTCTGGAGGTCAGGATTGATTATCAGCTGGGACCTCACCTAGGGCCATCAGCCAGAACATGTATACACAACCTCTCCTAACAGCATGGTGGCTAGGCTCAAAGGACAAACATCTGAAGATACAGTAAATGGAAGCTGCCAGTTTCTTAAAGCCTAGACCCAGAAAATGGCAGTGTATCACTGTGTTTCCCACTGGTCCAATAATTGTAGAGCCTGGCTTCCAGGGGAGAGGGAGGAGGAATGACAGAAAATATTGAGTCCATGTGCTATAACTGGTGAAGTGCTTACTCTAGTAACATATTATTTATATTCCTCTTACATACTAAATACACTAATCCAATGACAATACACTAGTCCTCTTTATTCAGCCATAGTTTCACTTTCTGAGGTATCATTTATCCATGGTCCACTGTGGTTAGAATATAGGTGAGTATAGTATTATAAGATATTTTCAGAGAGAGAGAGAGAGGGAGAGAGAGAAACCACATTCACATGACTTTGATTATAATTTATTATTATAATTGTTCTTTTTTATCATTAGTTATTGTTAATCTCATACTGTGCCTAATTTATAAATTACATTTTATTATAGGTACGCATATCTAGAAATAAACATAATATGCACAGTGTTTGGTAACATCTGTGGTTTCAAGTATCCACTAGGGGCTTGGAATGTATCTCTCATGGATAAGGGAAGGCTACTGTATTCCCCCAAAAGTCTCATTCTTTTAAAGTACTTGTCTCAGGGTTGAGTTTCAGAATTTTGTCATTTTTATCAAGTCCAGGTATAAATAAGACTCCTTCAGTGTGTTCTCTGGTATAACTGCTCAAAAACACTTCCTCTTGACACTATGACCCCAGGATTAGAGAGACAAGTTATCTGCTCCCTACATACCCATTATACACTGACATTCAAAAGGACAGAAGCCAGAGGCATCAAGCATTCTCTGACCCATTGAAGTTCTGAAGTGAGTAATACACATACATATTTCCAATTTCTTGACTCAGGACCTGTGAATGATTCTTTCTTACTTCTGCTTTTTACGTTATTGGTTCTACTTTTTGAATCATCCTATTATTTAATAAAACTACGAAGAAGTTGCCTTTTCAATCTATTCATAAGAAATTTGGCATCCAAAGGTCTCTTTTCACTTTGTACTGTCTCTGTCTCTTTTAATCCAAGCTGATCATGCTTCTATCAGTACAGTTTTCTTTAAAAAGAAAGCTTGTGGGTCCTTTATGAATCTTTACTGCATTAGGAAAAAAGATAACAACCATAGATCTCTGCAAGACAGGACTTCCTCAACACCACACTCGCTGTGAAGCTGTAGCTGAAAACCCTTAAGAGTCTAAGAAGCCCTATTGTTTAAGGAGAATATCTGTGAGGCATGCTCCTAAGCTTTTTAGAGGACCTTTTATGTGTAAGGTCTATGAGGCACAGCCTTCGATCTTTCTGAAGCCTTAACAAAGAGTTTCACAGTCATGCCCTTGGCTTCATCTTTAGATCGTGTTTTCCTAAAAGCGCATAGGCTTGATCTCTGCTCTGAGATCTTTTCTTATTTTGAGAATTTCCTGCTGGCTGTAGAGGCTGGGAATAACAATGAGTTTTATTTTCAAACTCAGCAAACTTTGGCTCCTTTATACTTAACCATTCTGTTTTAAGCTTATATCTATCCTATAGGATTTTATCATAGGCACCTGGAAGACTAGAAGCAGCAAGATGGCACTTTTAATATTCTAACTGGAAATCTCCACTAGATCATCAGGTTCATTAATTCTTGTTCCTACTTTCCACATTACTGGAGGTGACACTATTACCAAACTTTCTGCCACTACATTAAAAGTGTCCCTTTTACTCTAGTTTGCAACAATATTCCCCTAGTTTCTTTGACCACTTAATCACAACCTGCTTGAGGTTCTTTAAGCCTCTGAGAAACCTTTAAGTTTTTATTAAAAGTCTCCCAAATGCCCTTTCAGTTTCCATGTGTAACTTGATGTCAAACTCAGTGTCTCATGTTTTAGGTTTTTGTTATGGCAGCATCCCAGTTCCAGTTTTCAAAATCTGTTTGAGTTACCTAATACTACATAAAACCACCCCAGAATTAATGCCTCTAAAACAGCTATTTATTATACTCATAGATTCTATAGGTTAGGAGTTGGAAAGGGCACATTAGAGGTAACTTTTCTCATCCCATGATATCTGCGACTCAGCTGGGAGTATTGAAGGTGTGAAGGGACTCCATGGCTGGGACTAGAACCATCTGAAGCAGTGCTTTCCAGTGAAACTTTCTATGATGACAGAAATATTCTATATCTACATGGCCCAATTTAGTAGCCCTAGCTACATAAGGCTATTGGACATGTGACTAGCAACACATTACTTTATTTTCAATTCAATTTAAATTTAAATAGTCATATGTGCCTAGCGGCTGCTATCTTGGGCATCACACAACTGATGGCTTGTGTGCTAGTGCATTTGGAAGTTGATTCTGGCTGTCCTCCAGTTTCTAACCTATAGGTGACCTCACTTTGTGTTCTCTCTCCTTCTTCATAGCACATTGATAAGGTTCAAGAGCAAGCATCTCAAAAGGATCAGAGAAGGTTATATCACCTTTATCACTTAACCTCAGAAATCAGACAACACCATGTCTTACTTAATCACAGACCCCCTGAAATTCACAAGTAGGAAACACAGATCCCACTTTAACACCATGTTTTACGTAGAGCATTTGGCATGGGAGATCTTGTTGAGATCATCTTGGAAAATACATCTGCCATACCACACATCCTAGTAAAAGGGGAGGGTGTGTATGGCTTATCCTTACCATTCTACTTTCCTAGATTCTAATTTTTATTCCTTAAACCATGTAGCTAATTCATATAGGCTGTATTATTTTGTCAATTTGGGGATTCCTAGTAGACTTGAAAGTTATTAATTCAGCAGAAGTAAAATAAACCTCTTTTCATTAAAGTGAGCAGGTGTGTGTTTATCTTGGGCAAAAGAAATATTTCAACAATTTAGAGCAAAGGGAAAATATAGATCATAGAGCATACAGGCTTCCCCAGAGGCCTACATTCCTCTCATAACTGTGCTCCTGATCAATGTTCATAATCATGTGGGACAGAAATCAGGAGAGCACCCGTATCTCTTCACAGGATACTTTCTCT
This sequence comes from Homo sapiens, assembly GCF_000001405.40. Taxonomy (NCBI): domain Eukaryota; kingdom Metazoa; phylum Chordata; class Mammalia; order Primates; family Hominidae; genus Homo; species Homo sapiens. The sequence goes on from NC_000011.10 coordinate 98,575,422, forward strand.
CTTACCAACCAAGAGATCATGTTGTTAGTGTGTTACATTTTTTAAAAAATCATTTTTTCTTCATATCACTGGAAAAATAAACCAGGTCCTGGATATTGAAATGTTCACAGTACCCAAGTGTCTAATAAATCATAACATAAGGGTTTAGAAGCAATAGGAAATCTTCTGAGAGGATGATCAGGCCATGGCCTACCACCATATTACATAAAAAATGCATTATATTGTAACCTGATGATACTTACCTGGCACATAAGAATCAAAATAACTCCTTTCCTATGAATCCTTTTTAACAACGTAAGGCATATTTTTTACTCTTTCTTCTATGCTGTATGGTAATTACAGAGCACTTGGTTCATACTCAATATTTGGTTGTAACATACATATTCTACTATATGGCACATTTGTAATTTTTTATCTGACTTCCTATTTGACAGTGAAATCATAAGACAAAGGGATGGCATCATATTTAATGTAAATCCCCAGAATCCCCAAGGTGCCACATTAGAGTAGAGTCACAATAAATCTGAAATGATCTGGTTGTATTAATGAATAAGCAAGTATATTGCAAACTTACGTCTATAGCAGAATGAAAGATACTGTTAATAATTGCTCTCAAATTATTTGTTCCTGATATATAGTAATACACATTTACTTGAATTGAATTATCAGGCAATGCCTATAGAAAGCTCCTTTAAAAGTTACAAAAACATCTTAAAACAATGACCAGGGCATTAAATCAACATATGTATATGAGAGGCTTTTACCTGGGGCTATAAAAATCCTGCAAATAACATTTTTTTCACATATAAAATTATCAAGCAGACCATGGTTAAATTAATTAGGCTTTACCTATCAGGGAGGCTTATAACATAATGTTTTATAAACTTGAGGAAATAGGCATGTATTTATTATATATACAACTATAAAAAATGGTGGTGGTATTTTTAGTAATAAAATACTTGGTAGAGATAAATATAGCAAAATAAATTATTGATGATACACATTTTTAGTTATTCTTAAATTTTCTTTTAACTGAAATTGCCTATGCTAGAGAATCAACAATATTGTATTAATTGCAATATTGCAAAAATTTTCAGCTTTCAGAATTTGAATTCTTCTTTTCCTATTTTTTTTAAAGCTCAAATAAAGTAATGTAACATCCTAAAATCTCTTATTTAAACTTCACAATGTTGATTAAGTTAACCACAGATTCCCCCAATACTGGGAGTTCTCTGTAGTTTTAAGTTAAATATTTTACTATGATGCATATTGATTTTAAGCCATTTCAATAACTTCTAAAATATCATACAGAAAATAAGCTAGTAAATGTGAAAATAAAGCACAATTATTTTAAAAATACGCCTTTATAAGTCATAGCATTATATATTCAAATGTCTCTAGGGACTAAATACCAGTGAGTGGGAGAGTGTAATTAACAGAATGAGTGAAGTGAATATCTCAATTCAAATTTATTTAAAATGTTTTGAGAAAACAAAACATATTTGGTAGTTGATTTTTGTCCTGTAGATTACCAGTTTATGTTTCCCTACTTGGCTTTAAAATTTTGTATTTTTAAAGAAATGGTGTACCTTGGCCGGGCACAGTGGCTCACGCCTGTAATCCTAGCACTTTGGGAGGCTGAGGCGGGTGGATCACCTGAGGTCAGAAGTTCGAGACCAGCCTGGCCAACATGGAGAAACCCTGTCTCTACTAAAAATACAAAAATTAGCCAGTCGTGGTGGCACACACCTGTAATGCCAGCTACTCGGGAGGCTGAGGAAGGAGAACTGCTTGAACCTGGGAGGTGGAGGTTGCAGTGAGCCGAGATCATGCCACTGCACTCCAGTCTGCACTACAGGAGTGAGACTCCATCTCAATAACAACAACAAAAAATTTAAAAAAAGAAATGGTGTACCTATGTGTATATTTATATTTGTGCTGATGTATTTGCACAAGTTTTCATTTACACATATTTTCCATTATCATTAACTAATCATTGAATTATGTGATAATTTCTGATTCTTACCTGTAGTGTCACAAATTAAATCTACTTAAAGAGACCTTGTATTTAAAATTGTCTTTACAATTAATACATGTACACATTTAAGAAAAACAGATAGCACTAAAATATTTAAAATTTAAAAAAATCAACTAAAACTACAGTCCTCCATATCTTTAATTCTTATTTTTACTTTTTTCTTCTGAAAAAATTATTAATATGTATTTCTAAATGATATATCTATGTTATTATTGATTTCCCAAGTTTATATATTATATATATCATTTTCTAATCAGGAAGATTATAATAAACAACAACTTGTCATCCCACACAAAATTTTTCTGCTTTATACCTGAAATATAAATTCATCACATAATTTCTAAATGAATACTAAGCATTTATATCATGAAGATCATTAAGATTAGAAAATATTTATAGCTTATATATTTCCTCTTTTTAAAGTAATTATTACATTTTTGGTTAGTTTTCTGTGTAGCACAACTTTGTTTCAGCATTTTGAAGCACTGAAATCAATATTTCTGTTTCTCTTTTTTTCCTCTTTTATTGATTTGTATTTTTAAAGGCATACCACCTGTAGATCTCTCTTCTTCTCCTCCAATTTCAAGTAGTTTTGTTTTGTGATTGCTGAATTGCTATTTTCCTGAAATTCCTTCTACCAATATCTTTTCCCCTTTTTGGACCCCAAGTTTTCTAGATCTCCTGTAATCTCCTGTATCTCATTTTATCTGTTGGGTTTACAAGTTACATCTTTAGCTCCCTGAGTAAGACAAAATGGGAAGTAGTTTTTTTTTTTTTTCTGAGTACATGTTGTTCTAATTTTGTATTTCATACTTACTTTTGATTGACATAAAACTGGTGTATAATTCTACTTGAAAGCCATCAACTTCAGCATTTACTCTTCTTGGAAAGTTTGTTGATTTTTGTTGGTTGATAGGCTTTCATTGCTGTTTCTTCAGTTTTCTATTTGTTGATTTCTTTGTGTCATGTGTTGTTATTTTGATGGGTGATTGTTGATCATTTTTGAAATTTATTTTTATTTATTCATTTTTAGTTTGGAGACAGGGCCTCACTATGTTGCCCAGGCTGGAGTGTGGTGGCTCATCATAAATATGATCAAGTGCACTGCAACCTCCAACTCCTAAGCTGAAGCCATCCTCCCTCCTCAGCCTTTCAAGTAGTTGGTACTACAGACACACACCACCACAACTGGCTTTCTTTCTTTTTAAAATTATCTTATGTCTTAATATATTTTCTTCTTTGGTGATTTTAGTTATCATATTATTTCTTCCATTGTCTCCATCATTGTTACCTCTATCTTTATTTTTTAAAGGCTTTTGTTTTGTTTTGTTCTTTAATTTTCCTATTGGCGGCTCTATGGCATGTGTGGAGCTTGTCAATTCATACACCATTCAAAGTGAACTGGTAGAAACTTAGTATTTTCACTTGGAATCTGTTTTTTTTTCCACTATGAACCTAGAAATAAGTTATATATATATTATATAAAATATATAGAGATTATATATATAGAATATATGTAATTGTACCTGGAGGCCATAATCCTGGTACCGGTGTTCTCACTGGTTGATAGAGGAAGAATCTTACAGATAATTAGAAGTATCTGAATAGTTAATGTACAATCCATCACTTGAGCCTGTTTTCGGAACAGCATCATTCCTGCTTTCAGATGTATCTGGTATCTGAAAGTACAGAGATCTCTGTATCACCCTCACAAGAACATAATGTTCTGTTTTTCTTGGGATAGAGAATGAGCAATCACCTCACCAGAAACTTTGGAAGAGGGAATCTGTATGTCAAATTGCTTCTTAAAATTGAGTTTCAAAAGATCTTCCTGTTGAAGGCAGTACCTCGAATCCCATCTTCTCAGTTTCTTAACCACTCTAGAGTTCTATGGCAAAACTTGATTTTTTCTGATGAACTATATAAGTTATAAAAACTCCATTTGCTCTACAACATCCATTTTTTTGTTGTTGAAATTTTACACTTTTAGTTATTTGTTTTGCTTAATTTTTTGTTCTTGGCGGTTGAAAAATCATAACATTAGTTCTCAATCTACCATATGGCTCAAACTGATCTGGCAAAAATAATCAATAAATTATGGCCATTCATTAATGTTTTCTTTCTAAAAGTCTGGTTAAAAAACTAGCTAGTATTTTTAAACTAAGAAAATACATTTCCCTGACTATACTAATTAACTGAGAAAAACAGTTACCAACTCCCTCTTCCCAGTCCCCAAACATAAGAACATTTACAACAGAGAATGATGAAAAGATAGAGATAATGCAGTGATTGTTACTGCAGTGAAAAAAAATACTTGGAGGAAAACTAAAGTAGGAATAACTATTGTAACATACAAACATCAATTGTACTCAATGAATTATCTCTAATCAAGAGGAAAAGTGAGGATGTATTTTGTGTTTGCTCACTTATATGACATCACTTTCTTATAGTATTTCAATTAAGAATGAGCATTATTATTCTTCATAACATCTTCCTGGTCAAAAAGGCAGCAAAACCTTAAACAGGACCTGGTATGCCTCCTTTCAACTTTCTACTAAGGTATCCATAAATATACAGAAAATTGAAAAAGTACTACTACCTGCCCAATAGAAAAGCAACAAACAAGTCTCATCTCACTGCCACTAAATATATAAAATTCAGTGAATAATTAACAAACTTCTTTTGAAGGGAGAAGTTAGAGAGGCCTTAGAATGCAGAAAAACCGAGAAAAAAATTAATATGGGAAGAAATAGAAGAACCAAAAATAACAGTGATATTATATATAATTAATTTGTAATGGGAGCTGTTTTTACTTGATTAAGAGTATGGTTCAGTCTACAAACCCACAGAGCTTACCAAACTTCAAATAATTTTTTAAATACCGAAATGAAAGCAAAAACTCTGACCAACATCCAGGCAGAGATTCCTCAAAAATTTAAAAACAGTACTACAGTATGATCCAATAATCCCACTTCTGAATATACAACCAAAGGAAATGAAATCAGTATCTCAAAAAGATGTCTTTACTACACGTTCATTGCATCATTATTAACAAAAGCCAAGATAAGAAAAAAATCTGTGTCCATCAACAGATGAATGGATAGAAAAAGTTGGTATATATAAGCTGGCTCGGGTGACACAAGCTTGTAGTCCCAGCTGCTCAGGAGAGTGTGATGGGGGAGATTTCTTGAGCCCAGGAGTTTGAGACCAGCCTGAGCAACATAGTGAGGCCCTATATGTTAAGTATAAAAGAGAGGGAGAGAGAGAAATAAAAAGAAGAAAGAGAAAGAGAAGAAAAAGAAAGAAAAGAAAAAGAAAAAAGAAGAAAGAAAGAAAAAGAAGAAAGAAAGAGAAAAAAAGAAAGAAAGAAGAAAGCGGGAGGGAGGGAGGGGAAAGAGGGAGGGAGGGATTAAAGGCAGGTTGATATAATGTGATTGTGTAATTCCACCACAATGGAATATCATCCAACCTTAAAACAGGAGGAGATATTGGCATTTATTACAACATGATAACATAAGCCTAAAACACCATGATACATAAGCCTAAAAACCGTTACGTTGACTGAAATAAACCAGACACAGTGACAAATACTGTATAATTTCACTTTTCAGTGGAATCTAAAAATGTTGAACTGTAGAATCAGGAGAGTACCATGGGCTGAGCAGGAGGAGCAAATGGAGAGATGCTAGTTAAAGGATACACGTTTTCAGTTATAAGATGAATAAAGGCCAGGCGTGGTGGCTCATGCCTGTAATCCCATCACTTTGGGAGGCCAAGGCAGGCAGATCACCTGAGGTCAGGAGTTCAAGACCAGCCTGGCTAACATGGCGAAAACTCGTCTCTACTAAAAAATACAAAAATTAGCTGGGCATGGTGGCGGGCACCTGTAATACCAGCTACTCAGGAGGCTGAGGCAGGGAGAATTGTTTGAACCCGGGAGGCGGAGGTTGCAGTGAGCCGAGATCGCGCCACTGCACTCCACCCTAAGTGACAGAGCGAGACTCCGTCTCAAAAAAAAAAAAAAAAAAAAATATGAATAAATTCTGGCAATCTAATATACAGCATGATGACTATAGTTAATAGTATTGTATTGTTACTTGAAACTGGTAAGATAGCATATGTTAAGAGTCTTCCCCACAGACACCGACACACACATACAATGGTAAGTATAAGCAGTGTGGATGTGTTAATTTGACTGTGGTAATCATTACACAATGCATTTGTATATTGAATCATCACATTTTACACCTAGAATATATACAATTTTTATTAGTCAAATAAGGCTAAAAACCAAGACCTTTACCTCAGAGAGAAATACACTGACGTCTTTTTAAAGGTACCTTATTTGGCATTGTCTTTATTATGGGAGCTTAGCCTGTAACCTAAATATGTGACAACCATTTTAAAATATTAGTTATTAAAAGTGGGCCTGATAGTATTGAGAATCACTGTTTTAAATTACTAAATATGTGTACTGAAACAAGAACCATTTGTATTTTATTATACATAGTAACATTAAATGAGATAAACCAAGAAACCATAAAGACAATACAGTTAAATCTATTATCAATTCCTGTGGCAAAAACAGATAATAATATTATCGTGTGATCTGGATTCTATCTTTCCAGATTGCTACTGTCTTTGTTTCAGTTGAACTGTTTTTATTTTTATCTTTTTTATTAATTAAATTTTATTTATAATTGACACAAAATGATTGTACATATTTATGTACAGTGTGACATGTATAGGGGACAGTGTGATGTTTCAATGCATGTATACATTGCATAATAATCAAGTCAGGACAACTAATACATCCATCACTTTAAACATTTATCATTTCTTTGTGATAATAACAATATATTTTCTAACTTTCTTGAAATATATGCTATATTGTTATTAGCCATAACCACCCTACTGTGCAATAGAACACCAGAACTTATTTTTTCTGTCTAACTATGACTTTATTCTCATTGACTAACCTTTTCTGATTCCTCCCTCTTCACTACCCTCCTAGCCTCTGGTAACCCACTATTGTACTCTCTTCTTCTACTAAATCAAATTTTTTAGTTTACACCTATGAGTGAGATGATGAGGTGTTTGTATTTCTGTGCCTGGCTTATTTCACTTAACATAATGTCCCCCAGATTCATTCATGATGCCATAAATGCCGTAATTTCATTCTGTTTTATGGCTGACTAGTATCCCATTGTGTGTTTGTGTATATATGTATGTGAATGTATGAGTGTATACACACACACACACACACACACACATAAAACAGGAGATATTGCCATTTATTACAACGTGATAACATATTTATGTACAGGAGACAGTGTGATTTTTCAATGCATGTATATTTTGTATTATACTGCATTTGTTATCCATTTATTTGTAGAAGGGCATTTGGGCAGATTCCAATTTTGGCTTTGATTAGTGCTGCAACAAATGTAGGCATGCAGATATCTCAACATAACTGATTTTATTTCCTTTGAATGTATACCCAGTAATCGGATTGCTGGATCATATGATAGTTCTATTTTTAATTTTGTGAGGATCTTAGATTCTCTTAGATTCTGTTTTCTCTAATGGCTATACTAATTTCCATTCCCACCAACAGTGCGTATGAGTTCCCCTTTCTCCACATCCTCACCAGTACTTGTTATTTCTTGTCCTTTTGATAATAGCCATTCTAACATTGGTAAGATGATATCTCATTGTGCTTTTGGTTTGCATTTCCCTGATGATTAGTGATGGGGAACATTTTTTACATATATCTGTGGTGACTATTTCTGTCTTCCTTAGAAAAATGCCTATTCACATCTTTTGCCCATTTGTTAATTCAGTTATTTGCTTGTTTTTACTATAGAGTTGTTTGAGTTCTTTATGTATTTTGGATATTTATTTATTTATTTATATTTTTTGAGACCGAGTCAGCTCTGTTGCCCAGGCTGGAATCCAGTGGTGCCATCACGGCTCACTGCAACCTCCACCTCCCGGGTTCAAGTGATTCTCTTGCCTCAGCCTCCCAAGTAGCTAAGATTACAGGCACACACCACCATACCCGGTTAATTTTTTTGTATGTTTAGTAGAGACGGGGTTTCACCATGTTGGCCGGGCTGGTCTGGAACTCCTAACCTCAGGTGATCCACCCAACTCGGCCTCCCAAAATGCTGGGATTACAGGTATGAGCCACTGTGCCCGATCTCTATTTTGGATATTAACACCTTGTCAGATGAATAGTTTGTAAATACTTTCTCCCATTCTGCATGCTGTCTCATCACTGAAAACAAATGATGTTTCCTTTGCTATGCTGAAGATTTTTTTTTTTTTTTTGAGACACAGTCTCGCTCTGTTGCCATGCTGGAGTGTAGTCCGCAGCCTCGGCTCACTGCAACCGCTGCCTCCTGGGTTCAAGTGATTCTCCTGCCTCAGCTTCCTGAGTAGCTGGGATTACAGGAGCCCACCACCACACGAGGCTGATTTTTGTATTTTCAGTAGAGACAGGGTTTCACCATGTCGGCCAGGATGGTCTTGATCTGTTGACCTCATGATCTGCCCGCCTTGACCTCCCAAAGTGCTGGGATTACAGGCGTGAGCCACCGTGCCCAGCCTGAAGATTTTTAATTTGATATAATCTGATTTGTCTGTATTTGCTTTTGTTGCCTGTGCTTTTGAAGTCTTACTCAAAAAACTTTGTCCAGTCCAATTTCATGAAGCATTTCCACCGTATTTTCTTATAGCAGTTTTATAGTTTTGAGTCCTACATTTAAATCTTAATCCACTTAGAGTTGCTTTTTATATACGCTGAGAGATAGGCGTCTAGTTTCATTCTTCCACACGTGGATATTGCTTTCCTAGTACCATTTATTGAAAATACTTTCCTTTTCCCAGTGTGTGTTCTTGATAGTTTTGTCAAAAAACAGTTAGGTGCAAATGTGTGGATTTATTTTGGGGTTCTCAATTCTGTTCCATCAGCCTGTGTATCTGTTTTTATGCTACTACCATGCTGTTTTCATTACCATAGCATTGTAGTAGATGTTGAAGTCAGATAGTGTGATTTCTCCAGCTTTGTTCTTTTTGCTCAGGATTGCTTTGTCTATCTGGAGTCTTCCATTTCCATTCACAATCTTCCAGGATTCCATATATTTTCAGGGTCCTTTTTTTTTTTTTTTTTGAGATGGAGTCTCGCTCTGTCACCCAGGCTGGAGTGCAATGGCGCGATCTCGGCTCACTGCAAGCTCTGCCTCCTGGATTCACGCCATTCTGCCTCAGCCTCCTGAGTAGCTGGGACTACAGGCGCCCGCCACCACGCCCGGCTAAATTTTTTTTTGTATTTTTAGTAGAGACGCGGTTTCCCCGTGTTAGCCAGGATGGTCTCAATCTCCTGACCTCATGATTCACCCGCCTCGGCCTCCCAAAATGCTTACAGGCATGAGCCACTGCACCTGGCCCAGGGTCCTTATTTTTAAATGGCAATATTTGTTAGGCTCTGCTCATAGACTCTCTCAAACTATATTCATTAGTGTATTATGTATTGAATATTTAGTTAACAATGAGTTTGCTTTCCTTAAATATGTTCTCGAAAAGGTGACCATGTATTTGACTTATGAATAAAAGTGGTTACATCTGGTTGCTGCCCTATGTTTTTAACTTGAGTGATCTGTAGTTCCTTCTATGGAACATATTTAATTCAGGTATTTCCTACTCCACATACACTGTAATGAATGAAAGGAAAATGTTATAAAACTCCGTTTCAGGAAAGAAAATCAAATTATTAATTTCTGTTTAAAAATGCAAGTTAAGGTCGGGCACGGTGGCTCACGCCTGTAATCCCAGCCCTTTGGGAGGCCGAGGCAGGCGGATCACAAGGTCAGGAGATCGAGACCATCCTGGCTAACATGGTGAAACCCGATTTCTAATAAAAATACAAAAAATTAGGTGGGCGTGGTGGTGGGCACCTGTAGCCCCAGCTACTTGGGAGGCTGAGGCAGGAGAATGGCATGAACCCGGGAGGCGGAGCTTGCAGTGAGCCGAGATCGTGCCACTGCACTCCAGCCTGGGCAACAGAGCAAGACTCTGTCTCAAAAAAAAAAAAAAAAAGCAAGTTAGAAACTGGCTTCCATTCAGTAGCGTGATGAGAAACACCTTTATATATACTCAAAGAGCAGAAGACAAGGAACATTCATTGTAAAATTCTCACACATAATTACCAAGTAAGCTAAAGAATAGTGAATGTTTTGGATCTAAAGAAGTTCTTAAATTACAATAAAAATAATTATTGGCTAAGAATAATTAGCCTTGGAAGCAAAACTGAAATTTCCACCAAAAGTTTGTGATTTTTAAGTGTCTATAGTCTACCTTCAGCAGGTGAAAAAAGTCTGAATTGCTTTGGGCCTTTTAAAATACATTTTATATTATAGTTATAAATAGTTAATTATTGTATTTTCATTACTAAACTTTGACTAAATAGAATATCCCTCAGTACCTCATCAACCATATTTAGTAGCATTAGGAATTTTAATCATAGAATAGACACACCTAACTTAGAGTAAATATGAATAATAAAGTTCTTAATATAGTTAAAAAAATACAAAAATATGGAAAGAAAATTATCAGTTTACAAAATATCAAGAATTTGTTTTGAAGAAACTATCACCCCAAGCAGATTTATTTGTGTGTTTGCTTGCTACAGAGGCCTTCTTATTCAGTAGCTTGCTTTGAAAGCAATAAGCTTAAACTAAGAAGATTAATAATAAAGTCTAAAAATCTGAGTTTTACTGCAACAGTTCATATGATTTTGGAATTTCTTTGCAGCACTAGAAAAACAGCTTTTTTAAAGAAAACAAATTGCAGGTATTTGCTTAATGGGTACAAAAGCAAATGGAAATTTAAAAATTCAAGAACAAATCTATACTTTCTTATGAGATTTGAAACAAGTGGACAGAATTTGAAAATTCTATCTAAATAAATGAAAATTACTTCACTGAAAGCCTACTCCATGATTAGGCAATTCATTGCATGCTTAATTATAGCATTCATATTCCAATGACATCTATAAAGTGGTAAAAAAATTCAACAACAAGAATGCTAGTGTTATTTAGGTTTGATTGTGTAACAAAAATAATGCTGCCACTCTCCACATGCATTTGAAGTGAATAAGAGGACTTACATTAATGCAATGTGTGTTGCTTTGGAAATCAACCTTCCAAATATAACTCATAATAATCAGCCTCACCTACTGCTTTCTCACCATGGTGGTGTTTCTAAACAAAGTGTTTAAAGCCCTAGCTGTTATTGAATGCACACCATAAGAGATGGAAGTCAGTTTAACACTTAAAAAAAAGCCTCTGGATGAAAGACCAATGTAAACTGAATTTATTTTTGTTCCTTAAAAAATGAACAAAATTTGCTTGCTCATTTCTACTAATACACGTACAGCAATAGGCTGTGTCAACACCACAGAAAGAGAAAAGACTATTATACATTTTATCCTGAATAGTATACTATTATACATTTTATCCCACCTTATCTAATTGGGAAATTTTAAAAGCTATCATTTATTACATCTATACTTAATTTCTGCTTGTTGTTGAAAAGAACAAACTCTGTAAAATATTTAAAGAGGTTAATTCTGAGACAATAAGAAAAATCATAGCCCAGGGATGAGTCTCAAAGGCTTCTGGGAAAGTGTGCCCTAGGTGGTGGGGTTACAGGTTGGTTTTATACATTTTAGGGAGGTAGAAATTACAAGCAAAGACATAACTCAATAGGTGCAAGATACACATTGGTTCAGCCTAAAGAGGAAGTATATCTTCAAGTAGGGGCTTACAGGTCATAGGTGGATTCAAAGATTTTCTAATTGTCAATTGATTGAAAAAGTTAAGCTTTGTCTAAAGTCCTAAAGTCAGTAGAAAGAAATTATTCAGTTAATTTATGGGAGTTTTTGAAAGCCAAAATTCCTTTTGTGTAGCTGAAAATTCCAGGCATCAGCCTTCAGAAAGAATACATAGTAAATATTTCTTTTTAGGCCTGAAAGGGTGTTAGACTCTTAATCTCTCTGAGATCTGTGAAAGCCTTAGCTGTATTAATGGAGATTCTACACAGATGCAAATGTCCCCCATGAAAGACGATTTTGCAAGGCCATTTCAAAGAGATACATTTTGGTATAAAATATTTTTATTTCCTTCACTGTCTTCTATCTGTCATGTGATGATATACCAGAGTCAGGTTGAAATTTGTTATCTTAATGACACAAAGAGTCTGTTTTGTCAGTCTTATGATCTCTATTTTAACATTAATGCTGGTCAGTTGTTCCTAACTCCAAAAGAGAGGAAGTATAACAAGGCCTGTCTGACCTCCTGTATTAGTCCATTCTCATGCTGCTAATAAAGACATACCCAAGACTGGGTGATTTATAAAGGAAGTAGTTTTAACTGACTTACAGTTCAGCATGGCTGGGGAGGCCTCAGGAGGAAGGAGAGGCAAACATGTCCTTCTTCACATGGTGGCAGCAAGAAGAAGAATGAGAGCTCAGTGAAGGGGGAAGTCCCTTATAAAGCCATCAGGTCTTGTGAGAACTTCCTCACTATTATGAGAACAGCATGGGGAAAACCACCTCCATGATTCAATTACCACCCACCAGGTCCCTCCCACAACACATGGGGATTATGGGAACTTCAATTCAAGATGAGATTTGGATGAGGACACAGCCAAACCACATCAACTCCCTTCCTGTCATGGTTGGGAACTCAGTTTTTCAAGATTCTCTAGGGTCTCCTTGGTCAAGAAGGAGTCTGTTCAATCAGTTAGGGACCTTAGGATTATATCGTTGGTTTACATGCTTAAGAATATATTTCTCCAGGCCATTTATTTGAATAACAAAAAAAAATTAAGTCCAGTAGCCCCTTGGCTTTTAAATGAATACAGTGAGTCACCATAATAGGAAAATGTTTCCATTAGCATTTATTCTATAGCATATATTACACTTTGGAGACATAAGTTTTACATTAAAAGTAAACATGTTTCATAATTCTTTAAAAAATTGAATATTTTATTTAAAATTTTATAGATGTATTGAGAAAACAAATGTAACTAAACTATTGGACTAATTTATAGATTAGGAAAGGATTACAGAATAAATATACATACTATAAAGGTTTACATTTCTATAGTTGTGTAAATTGTAAAGGAAAGCATCAGCTAAGATAAACATTTTCAGAGATATGGATATTATATTTGTTTCTTTGGAATGTTTTGTCATATATGTACATATAAATAAATAAATAAACACACCTTTCCTAACTGTAGAAACAATATAAGCAAATGAAAAAGAAAAAAATAACTAAAAGCAAACAATTTAGAACCCAAGAAATCCTATTGTAACTGTAGAAAGGAAAAAAAAGAAAAATAGAACAATGAAACATTTTAGAACTTAGAAAATTCCTATATGCCTTTCAATAAATGTGAGTGACTAATACATTAGCCAGTCACTGGGCAGGTTTCTGGGGAACAAAAAAAAATCAAGCAAGACATGGTTCCTGTTCTCAGTGCTGGAATGGAAAATACATTTTGTTGGCTGGACTTCCCAGGGTTTCAAAAGATGCCACGTTGAAATTGTTATTATTTTTAGTATACAATAAGTATAAGTTGTAGTTTAAATTGAGACAGACAAAGCCAGGTAGACTTCTTTGGGGGTAAACTCACCTCCCTTATAAAAGTAAGGGAATGGTAGCTACCATTTATTGAACGCCTATTGCTTGCCATACTAGAGTACATATTTTCTTTTTTGAGAATTACACTGTCATGAGGTTATTACACAGTAATGACGTTATTATTTTTACCATTTAACAGGTGAGAAAAGTAATACTTAGAAAAATTTAGTAACTCGCTGAAATTTGCTGAAATAGTAAATGTCCAAATCAGGACTTAAACCTAATGTTCTTTGATAGTAATATTTATTAGCTTACCATCAATTTAACCAGATGTATCTATCACAGGAATAGATAATCATTTTTAATGAAGTTATTAAGTATTCCCACAGTATCCAGAATTGGTTTATATGAACATGTGTGGGATGCTACAGGTTAATAGACATAATTTTTATATGTTAGGAAGAATAGAAAAATTGTATATATATTTTCAATTTACTCATACTGAAAATGGTTTATTTGGAGGAAATTTTCACACATGTAAATACCTGCAAAGTAAACAGAAGTCATCTGTCTTGATTTCAAATTAGAAGTCAATAACTATAACTAATGAGGACTGATGGTAAAGACAAAGTCACTGAGTGACAAATAAACACATTGGTGCATTTAAAATAAATCATCTGGAAAAATTTTGGTATAATGTAAGTTGCTATATTTTAGCTAATATTTCTATTTTATTTCTATATCTAGATGAAATTTAAGTTTTTTATTTGTTTATAGATGTAATTATTACTATTACTGGCTGCATTGTCAAGCAAAGCAAACGACAAGCAAAGAAAATTTTTAAGATGTGAAAATGTAAATTAAAGTTATATATGAAATCAACAAACATATTACATTTGCCATAGTCTTCTTATGTGAATTAATGCGGAAACAGAAAATCAAATACTTTATGTTCTCACTAACAAGTGGGAGCTAGACTATGTGTATGCAATGCGTACACATAGATATAATGACGGAAATAGTAGACGCTGGGACTTCAAAAAGGGGAAGGAAGGACAGTAGACAAGGGTTGAAAAGCAACCTATTTTGTTGACAGTTTGAGTGATGGGTTCACTAGAAGCCCAAACCACAACAAGTCCCAAAATACCCTTCCTTGTAACAAGCCTGCACGTTTACCTATGAATCTAAAATAAAATTTTTAAAAAGAAAAGAAAGTGGACTTTTTGTTTAATTAATTTAAAAAAATAAATGAATCACATAGGTAATAGTACTTCCAACATATTTTAAAACAGATATTTGTGTATCGTCAAGTTCCCGTACCAACTGACTTTTTGGATAAAATGATTTACCTTCTTCTGTAGTAAACAAAAATTGCTGTCCTTGGTTTTTTGGTTTTGTTTTTAATTTTGTCAGTGTTTTTTTTTCTTGCAGTTATTTTGATATCTGAAAATAATTATGAGTAAGAATTGCTCCTTATTGGACTTTAATGTACTAATGAAAATAATTTTCAATAACTTTTAAAATGCATGTCACCTTAGACATCCTGTATAATTCAGTATGATACTATGTGATAGAGAAGAAATATGTTCGAAATATGGCAAGATAAAGCCATTTTAGTAGGTAGCATACATAACAATTATGAAAGCACAATAACAAAATATTACAGAGGAAGTAGATTGAGTTCTGCTTCTGGAAAGGTAAACATGCTAAGAAACAACTAGAAAAATCAGGCTAAATACAAAAATTGTCTTTGAAGTCATTATAGAACTACGAACTACCATTAGACAGTCATGAGATTATGTGATACTGAAATCTGGACAGAAGAAAAGGCAGGGAATAGAGAACAGATTTAGCAGTGCTTCTGTCTCCAAGGGAATTGTCAATTCTGAAAGTTGCATTGAAAAGTTGAAAAGCTAAATAGAGCTTTTGTCAGTCTTAGAGGGCTGAGGGGACACTGAAGTTCAAAACCCATGAAAAAGGAAAGGCCATTCTACAGCCCCCAGGATGTTGGATGATATCTTTGGGAGGCTGCACCTCTGAATTAAGAATAAATTGGAAATAAACAAATCCTCACGTAAACTGAAGCCCAGGTTCAGATCATGTCAACCCCTAGTAGATTAAGCTAACTTGCTCCCACTGTAGTTGCCTTCCAGAGAAAAAGAAAATACTCTCTGGAGGACAATAACATCACAAAAAGTCTCCAGTTATGGATGTAATTTTTTTGTCTGAGTGCCACTCAGTAAAAAATAACCCGGAAGCAAGCACACAAACAAACAAACAAACAAAAAAAGATAAAAATTAAAAGGTTTTTTTTAAAAAAACAAATAATATTCAGAGAATCAATTTAGCTCTAGATGATAGAGTTGTAAGACCTGGATGTTAAAATATCTATGACCAATTTATCCAATTAAGTTTAAAAATGGAGAATTTCTGTAAAAAACTGAAAATTAACAGAAAGATTCTTAAAGGAATCCCACACTACATAATATAGTAACTGAATTTAAGAAGTCAGAAGCATATTGGCCAGGCCTCGGTGGCTCATGCCTGTAATCCCAGCATTTTGGGAGGCCAAGGCGGGAGGATCATGAGGTCAGGAGATCGAGACCATCCTGGCTAACACGGTGAAACCCTGTCTCTACTAAAAAATACAAAAAAAAATTAGCCGGGCACGGTGGTGGGCGCCTGTAGTCCCAGCTACTCAGGAGGCTAAGGCAGGAGAATGGTGTGAACCCAGGAGGTGGAGCTTGCAGTGAGCCGAGATCACGCCACTGCACTCCAGCCTGGGCCACAGAGCGAGACTCCATCTCAAAAAAGAAAAAAGAAAAAAGAAGCATATTAAAGATAGATTTTTTGAAAAAAAGAGTATTATTGTACTGGAATTCAGAGCAAAAAAAATTTCCAGATTAACATACAGAAATATGGATGAAAATATAGAAACATAAAACATGGTAAAAATGTTTAAGATATTAAATTGGAATGTCGAAAATGGAGCAGAGAGAGACTGGTAACTAACCAATATTTGAAGAGACAAGAAAGACATAAAAAACATAGATCCCAGGAAAATTGCAATCCAGAACTACTTCCAGATGCCTTATATTACAGTACTGTAAATCAAACACCAGTGACAATCTCAAAAGTAGCAAAAAAACTAAACAAAACAAAAACACACACTCACACGGAACACATTACCTTTAATGAAGCAGCAACAGGACTGTTAAATGATTTTCTCACTGAAAGTAGATGGATCATTTTCAAGGTGCTACAAGAAAATATTTGCCAATTTAAAAGTTTGGTAAATATAAAGTCTAGTAAATACAGCATGAATTAAATAAAATAATGAAATAAAATAGTAATTTAAATAAAATAATTAAATAAAATAAATAGTAAATTAAATATAATGCCTTACTTTCAGATATACGTTTGATAGATCTAGTAAATCATCCAGTAAATATAAATGTCTGGTAAAATATCTAGCAAACTGAAAATAAGGCATTTTCAAAATAAAAACAAAATCATTAGGGAAATTGGTTATCAAACACATGTTAATGGAGACACTAAAGAGTTTATTCTGTCATAAGTAATATTTTTCTTATCAGAAGAAAGCTTGTTTATTCAGAAAGGAAGAAAGAGCAAGGAAATTAGTATGTGGTTAAAGATAAGTGAATTTGACCCAATAATAATAATAGTGTGTAGTTGATATGTGTGTGTATATTTTACATATATAGAGAGAGACAACAATACAAGTTAATTTACAAATAAAATCTATTAATGCAAAAAAATAAAACAATAAATTTAAAACAGAAAATTCAAAAATAATTAAAAGCACAATAAATCAAGAAAAACGAGGGAATAAAAAAAAATTCCCTAGAGACTTATGGGGCCAAATAAAGATTAGACAGTAAAATGACAAACTTAAACCATTAAGTGCACTAAATATAAACTAAAATTAAATGTGGATTGACTACATTTTAAATGATATCAGGCCGTGTGTGCTGGCTCATGCCTGTAATCCCAGCACTTTGGAAGGCCGAGGAGGGTGGATCACCTGAGGTCAGGAGTTGGAGACCAGCCTGGCCAACATGGTGAAACCCTGTCTCTACTAAAAATACAAAAATTAGCTGGGCATGATGGCGCGCGCCTCTAATCCCAGCTACTCGGGAGGCTGAGGCAAGAGAATCGCTTGGACTTGGGAGCCAGAAGTTGCAGTAAGCCGAGACAGCGGCCACTGCACTCCAGCCTGGGCGACAGAGTGAGACTCTGTTTCAAAAATAAATAAATAAAATAAAATAAAATGATATCAGCCATAACCTGCATACAGGCTTTTATTTAAGTTTTGTCTGTTTTACTTAGTAAATCTAGCTAAAGTTTTGTGAATGTTATTGATCCTTTCAATGAATCAACTCTAGTTTCACTGATTTTTCTCTCTAATTTTTCTATTTTTATTTCATTTGCTTCTACTTTAATCACTTTTTTTCTTTCCTCTGTTTGCTTTGAGTTAAATTTGCTCTTTCCTGTTAAGATTCTTAAGATAATGTGTTAGTTTATTGAGTCTAGGTCATTTTTTTTTGTGATTGAGGCATTTACAGCTATATCACAGTTATAAATGTAACTGTAGACTTTTTTTTTCAAAATTTGAATGTGTTTTCTCCCTCCTTCTTACCTCCATAACAGCTATATCACAGTTATAAATTCAACTGTTTACTTTTGTTTTCAAATTTTGAATATGTTTTCTCCCTGCCTCTTACCTCCATGGGTCCTGATGAGAAATGAACTGCTCATCTAGTTGAGGACCACTTGTACATAACAGCTTACTTTTCTCTTGCTTCATTCAATATCCTTTTTCTTTAATATTTGTCTTTTGAATGTTTGACTCTAATGTGTCTAGGTGCAGATTTCATTTAGTTTGTCATAGTTAGAGAATGCTAAGCTTCTTGGATGTACAGATTAATACTTTTCATCAAACTTGGGAAGTTTTCAACTAGTTTTTATACAATATCATTTCCATCCCTCTTTCTTTCGTCTCCTTTTGAGATTCCCATTACGTACATACGTGATGGTATGCTTGATGGTGCCCCCAGAGGTCTCTGAGATTCTAATTTCTTCATTTAAAAAATTTTTTTCTGTTCCTGAGATGAATAATTTCAACTGACCTATATTAAAATTTGCTGATTTATTTTCCTCCCAGTTCATATCTGCTGTTGAATCTCTTTAATATATTTTTCATTAAACTTGTACTTTTCAACTTCAACATTTTTACTTGGCTCCTTATTAAAATTTCTATCTCGTTGTTTTCATTTGGTGGGAATTTGTATGCATTCCCTTAATTCCTTTAATGGTTTCCTTTGGTCCTTCGAATATAATTATAAGAGCTAATATGAAGTCTTTGTCTAGTGAGTCCAATTAATACCTCAGCTTCTCAGTAACAGTTTCTATTGACTGTTTTTTGGTTGTCGTTGTTGTTTTTCTTATGTATGAAATACACATTCTTCATTCTTTGTGTGTCTCAAATTTTTTTAATCTTTGATATTGTAAATAACATGATGTGTAAATTTTGGAAATACTATCTCCCCTCCCATCTCGGAGTTTCTTGATCGTGAAGATATTTGTTTATTTAATGACTTTACTGGACCAATTAGTAATATCCATCTTCTTTGTAGTGTGAGGTCATCGAAGTCTTTATTTGGTTTCTTTGTAGTAAGCTAATAATTGAATAGAAATTTCCCTAAATTGATAAACTAATAAGTGTTTTTGCCTTTGCTGAAATGTTTGATGTATGTGTTTGAATTCACCTTCAATTATCCACAAGAAGTATGTGATTATGCCAAATATAATTTTTTTAAATGCTTATACATTTCTATTAAAAAGACCTACAAAAATTCCTTTAAAAAATAGTAGAGACTTAACTAGAAATTTTATAAAATTGAAATGCAAGCAAAACACCATTATAATATTCTAGTATACCCATATGACATTGACTAAGTTAATTAGACTGATGATTTATTTTCTGATATCTACATATTTCTCTATTTCTACTTGGTTCCACTTTTCACCTGGAATTGGTTATTTTCCTTGATTTCCATCTGTGTCTGCCTTAGCAAAGCTCACTCTGATATTATGACATAAATCCATGATGATTCCATGATTGTTTTATTAAAGATCTCCCAAAGTAAAATTGGGTCTTGGAATAACCTCTATTATGACTGCTGTGGTTGAAGCTACAGAAATTTCAGTACCAATATAGGCATTAGTAGGATTCATGGAAGCCCTTACTGTAGAAATGTTGTGGTTGGTGGTAACAACCACTGACACACAGCGGCATCATAATCACAATAAATTTCAGCTTTAATTGGTTTACAGGAGATGCAGTTGGAAAGAAAGCATTGGGTAATCAAGTGGCTACTGCACCAAATTAGTATGAAAACAATGATTGTTATGAGGATTTTGCTACTAGATAGCCACTTTTAATGGCTTTCAAGACAAAATTCTGGGGGGAAAAAGGATGTGAGGCTCAGACCTGGACTTAGGTATGGAGAAGCTAACCTGATAATCTTGGAATTCAAATTTTTGTGAGGCATTCTGACTGTGAGAGATAACACTTTTTTCTTTGCCAGAAGGAAAGAACAAACCTCGCTTTGTCAGTAGACCATAGAATACTTCATTGATTAGGTAAAGAATATTCCTAACCTTATCCCAAGGCCCTCTATGAGATAACGGTGTTCTAAGCTGACAATAATTACATTATGATTAATATGGTTTGGCTCTGTGTCCCCACCCAAATCTCATCTTGAATTTTATTACCAATAATCCCCATGTATCTAGGGAGAGAACTGGTGGGAGGTGATTGGATCATGGGAGCAGTTTCCCCCATGCTATTCTTGTGGTAGTGAGTGAGTTCTCATGAGATCTGATGGTTTTATAATGGGCTGTTACCCCTTCACTCCTCACCTTTCTCTCTCACCTGCTGCCCTGTAAGATGTGCCTCTTCTCCTTCTGCCATGATTGTAAGTTTCCTGAGGCTTCCTCAGCCATGTGGAACTGTGAGCCAATTAAACCTTTTTTCCTTAAAAATTACTCAGTCTCAGGTATGTCTTTATAGCAGTGCGAAAACAGACTAATGCAATAATCTTCAGAGTGAGACTTAACAGAGATTGGGTGAAAAAAAAAAAAGGTTTGGACTTAAGCCCAGTGAGTCATGGGTAATTCTGGTTGTGTTCTTGGCCTTTAATTTTAGAACTGGGATAGATATAAGTGGACATTGATAGACCCTCATATTGGTTCTGTATCTTTGGAGTAACTTTGAAGTAACTTCTATCTTTGGAGTTCTCTATCTTTGGAGTAACTTCTCTATCTTTGAACTGTCTTGTTCAACATTTTAACTCAAAAGGAATATTACATTTAAGGTGAATTGCAACATCAGAATCATCATCAAACATACAGGTGTAGTAGTCTTATAATATCCATGTTTAGTTCACCTGTCTGCTATCCCCAGAAATCCAATGGATTTTGGTTGCTGAACTGTCTGAGAGAATAAAGGTAATACAATTTTTTAAATCTTAAAGTCCCTTTTAGTGCACTTCCATAAACTTATCCAGTATGTGGTCACCATGGCATTTGCTATGGTATAATAATGAAGAAGCTGAAGATTCACTCAGCAAAACTGAATCTGCTATCTCAAAACATAATATTGATCAAGATAAATGAAACATTATAGACATATAGTATTCAATTTACACAAAGTTCTAAAATAGGCAAAATTATTTAGTGATGTTAGTAGGATAATCATTACTGATGAGAACCAAGGAAGTTGAAATTGAGAGAGTACACAGAGGTGCTTCTAAGTTTCTATTAATATGTTTTTGCCTGGGTGGTAGATTAATGGGTATGCTTATCTTTTTAAAATTAATACATTGCCATAATATACTCTTATAATATGCGTGAATTTATTAATGAATGTTTTACTGCTACTAGAAACATGTTTATTAAAATGTACCTTAAGGATAAAAAATTAGATTAATTCTGTTACAGTCCAGAATTAAAAGATAAACCATTACTAATTTTCTTGTTTCATTTATTGATAATAAATCAAATTTAAGAATTTTACTACACTTTCAATTTTTTGCCTTTTGTAAATTTATTTATAAAGTAATCTTAAATTTAATGCTGAACAGGAAACAAAAGTTTCAAAATACTGAGCAGCCTTTCAGAAGAGAAATGGAAAGCCAGTAACGAGGCTAGGGGCTTGGTAACAAATGAGAGTTTTTGTTTTCCCATTTTAGTTGGAAATATATCTGAGGTGAAAATAATTAATTTGCCTTAAGGATGAATTAAATTTCTTTTAGTCAAAATACACTTTTTTTTGGTTAATTCATAGGCCTCCTGCATATAAAACTATTTTGTAGATGGACTTGACCTTGCAAATTACTGTTTACACTCAGGAATTGACATCCCACACAATTTATTTTTTCCCTAGAGAGATTGATTACATTGGTGTGTATTTTTTAGATAATAAAGAGTACAGCAAGTCTGTCACATAGGAAGATATTGTGTATGATATAAGTTATTGCCCAATGGCAGATTTTTAAGGGATAAGAAGCAAATTAAGGGTGCTGGTGAAAGCATTTGTATTTACACAAAAGTATAACATGCAAGGCAGCTTTCATATATGCTTTTCTGTAATCTTCACAATAACTTCATGAGATGGGTTTAATCATTTACAGTTTGCAAAAGTGGAATTTGACTTAGAAATTCTACTACTTGATGTGACAGATTGAAACAAAATTTGAATGTAAATGGGTCCCTTGGTAAAACATATATTCCTTCTATTATATACAGCAACAACTCCTTCAAACAAAAACATGGAAATTATATTCTGTAGCCAGAGCATGAAATGTTCTGTAAACACACATTCCTTCTATTATACATAGCAACAACTCCTTCAAACAAAAACATGGAAATCAAGAGTTTCTTTTTAATAGACTTTTATTTATTAGAGCAGTTTTAGATTCACATCAAAATTGAGTGGAAGGTACAGAGATGTCCTATATAACCTCTTCCCTGAAACATGCTTAGCCTCCCCCATTATCAATGTCCCTTACCAGATGAGTGCATTTGTTATCATTGAGGAACCTACACTGACACATCATTATCACCCAAAGTCCATAATTTGCATTAGGATTTTCACTTTTGGTGTTAATTGGTCTGGCTAAAGGTTTGTCATTTTGTTTATATTTTTAAAATACCAAATTTCCATTTTGTTGATATTTTATATTGTTTTTCTCATTTCAATTTCATTTATTTCTGCTCTGATCTTTAATATTTATTTTCTTCTACTAATTTTGGGTTTGGTTTGCTCTCTTTTCTAGTGCTTTAAGTTCAATCACTTAAGGTTGTTTAGTTGAAGGTTTTCTACTGTTTTGATGTAGGCACTTATTGAAATAAACTTTCCCCTTAGTACTGCTTTTGTGTATTTCATAGGTTTTGGAATGTTTTGTTTCCATTTTCATTTGTTTCAAGAAATCTCTTAATTTTCTTCTTAATTTCTTCATTGACTCTCTGGTCACTCAGGAGCATTTTAATTCATTTTCATGTGTCTGTATAGTTACCTAAATTTCTATTGTTATTGATTTCTAGATTTATTCCATTGTGTTTAAAGAAGATAGTTGATTTTATTTCAATTTTTGAAATGTTAAAGACTTGTTTTGTGGCATAACATATACTCAATCCTTGGGAATGGCCCATGGGCTGAGAAGAATGTATATTCTATAGCCAGTGCATGAAATGTTCTGTAAATATCTATTAGGTTTATTTGTTCTTTAGTGTAGGTTAAGTACAATGTGTCTTTTTGATAGTGTCTAGATGATCTGTCCAATGCTGAAAGTGTGGTGTTGAATTCTCCAGCTATTTTTATATTGACTTTTGTCTTTCTCTTTTGCTCTAATAATATTTGCTTTATATATCTAGGTGCTCCAGTGTTGGGTGCATATATAGTTATACTTTTTATACCCTCTTACTGAACTGACTGCTTTTTCCTTATATAATGACATTCTTTCTGTCTTTTTAATAGTTTTTGTCTTGAAATCTATATTGTCTGATATGTTTAGCTATTCTGGCTCCTTTTTGGTTTCCATTGGCATGAAATATCTTTTTCTGTCGCTTTATTTTCACTCTATATGTATCTTGATAGAGAAAGTGTGTTTCCTGTAGGCAACAGGACATTGGGGCTTGTTTCATTTTTTTAATCTATTTAGCAACTCTATGTCTTTTCATTGGAGAGTGTAGTCAACTAACATTCAATGCCATTATTGATAAGTAAGGACTTAGTCTGCTCCAGACATATTGGAATGCCTTTGCATGTTATTTGTTTATTTTCCCTTGCTGCTTTTAGGATATTATATTTATTCTTGACCTTTGGCAGTATGATTATTAAATACCTGGAAGTAGTCTTATTTGGGTTAAGTCCCCTTGGTGTTCTGTAACCTTCTTGTACTTGAATATTGATATGTGTCTCTAGGTTTGGGAAGTTCTCCATTGTTACCACTTTGAATAAATTTTCTTCCCCAATCTCTCTATGTCCTTTTTATGGCCAAAACTCTTAGATTTCCCCTTTTGAGGTATTTCCTAGATCTTCTAGGCATGCTTTATTATTCTTTATCATTTTTTCTTTTGTCTTCTTTGACTGTATTTTCAGATAGCCTGTCTTCAAACTAAGTATTTCTTCTGCTTAGTTAATTCTGCAGTTAAGAGACTCTGATGCATTCTTCAGTATGTCCTTTGCATTGCTCTACTCAATAAGTTCTGCTTGATTATTTTGAATTATTTCAATCTCTTTGCTAAATGTATTTAATAGGATTCTGAATTCCTTCTCTGAGTTATCTTGAATTTCATTTCACTTCCTCAGAAAAGCTATTTTGAATTATCTGTGTGAAAGCTCACATGTCACTGTAGCCATATCAGCTTTGGGGAACACCCAAAGCCCAGTGATGTCGTGGCTCTTGCAGACTCAGAAATACTACCTTGGTGGTCTTGTGTATAATCTGGAAGAATTATCTGAATTACCAGGCAAAGACTCTTGTTCTGCTCCTTTACTTTTCTGCAAGCAAACAGAGTATCTCTGTCTTTGCTGAGCTGCCTAGAGCTGGGGGAAGGGTAATAAAAGCACCCGGGTGGCCACCACCATTAAAACTATGCTGAGTCAGACACAAAGCCAGTACAGCACTGGGTCTTGCCAAAGGTCTGCAGTGACCACTACCTTGCTATTACCTGTTTATTCAAGGCCCTTACAATCAGTAGGTGACACATGGAGCCATGCTCGTGTCCTTTCCTTCAGGATGGCAAGTTTCTTCAGCCCTGGGTAGGTCCAGAGTTGCCTCCCAGGAGCCAGGGCGTGAAGTTGAAAACCTATGAAATCTAACTGGTGCTCTCTTCTGCTGCAGCTGAGCTGGCACCCAAGCCATGAAACAAAGTCTTTCCTATTCTTCTCTCCCCTTTCCTCAAGAAGGTGATTCTCTTTATATGGCCACTATTACCCCAGGTCCACATCTACGTCTTTGCTGCTGATGTTCACTAAACATCCAGGGGCCCTTCAGTCAGCTTATGGTGAATGCTGTCCATCCTGAGTCTCTCCCTGAAGGGAAGTAGGCTCCCTTCTGGCCTAGGGAAGGTCCAGAAATGCCATCCAGGAGCCAAGGCCTGGTATGAGGGACCCTGGGAACCCACTTGATATTCTACCCCACTGTGGCCAAGCTGGTACCCAAGCTGGAGACAATGCCCCTTTACTTTTCCCTCTCCTTTCGTCAAACAGAAGAGGAGGTCTCTCCCTGTAACCATCTCAGGCGGGAATGTGCTGAGTCACATCTGATGCCAGCATAGCTCTGAGTCCCACCCAAGGCCTGTAGTGGGTACTGCTTGGCTACCACTACTGATTATACAAGACAAGGGCTCCTAAGTCAGCAGGTGATAACTTCTGCCAGGACTGGGTGCTTCCCTTCAAGGCAGTGGCTTCCCTTCTGGCCCACAGTGTCTCTAGAAATGTGGTCTGGGTGCTAGGGCCTGGAATGGGGACCTCAGAGCTCTACCTGCTACTTCCTTCTACTGTGGCTGAACTGGTATCAAAGCTGCAAGACAAAGTTCTCCTTACTTGCCCCTCTCCTCTCGTCAAGCAGAAGAAATGAGTGTCTCCTCGTGCTGGGAGCTGCGGTGCTGGGGTTAAGGGAGGGGTGATGCAATCACTCAAATTGGCTGTTCCAGCTGGTACCTTACTAGGTCACATGCACCCCAAGTCCACTGGCTTCAAGCCCAGCACAGAGCCCGGGGATTGCAGTCCTTGTGGTGTATACTGCCTTTCAAGTTTATTTAGTACTCCAGAGTACATTAGCCCACAGTTGTGGGGCTTGCCAGAACTCAAGTTTTGACTGCCAGGATGGGCAATTCCTTTACGGCTAGGGCTGATCCAAATGCTCCTTCCATAGTCCCTGGCTGAGCTCCTCTCTGTTTTACTTTCTGTTTTGACAGGGCAGCACTGAGTTCCAGTGCAATATCCTACAATCATTGTGCTTTCCTTCTCCCAAGCTCGCAGATTTTCTTTCAGTGCCACAGTGAAAGGAATAGAGAATGGGTGGTGCAGATGATTCAAGACTGTCTTTCCTATCCTCTTCAGTGTGTCTTTTTTGAATATAATGTTAAAACCAGGTACTGTGATCTCACCTGATTTTTGGTTCTTATAAAGGTGATATTTTTTGTGAATAGTTGTGCAATTTGGTGTTCCTGCAGAGGGGGGTGATTACTGGTGACTTCTATTTTGCCATCTTGCTCTGCCTCCAAACAAAAATTTTAATTTTAATGATGTCCAGTTTATCAACGCTTTCTTTCATGGATTGTGCCTTTGGTGTTGTATCTAAAGCATTATCACCAAACCCAAGGTAACCTAGATTTTCTCTTATGTTATCTTACAGGAGTTTAATAGTGTTTTTGTTTTACACTTAGGTCTGTAATCTATTTTGAGTTATCTATTTTGAGTTAGTTTTTGTGAAGGGTGTAACAATAGTGTCTAGATTCATTTTATTTTTGTGTATTAATATCCATTGTTTCAGCACCATTTGTTGATAAGACATCCATTATGTTGCCTTTCCTCCTTTGCCAAAGATTAGTTGACTGTATTTATGCAAATCTATTTCTGTTCTATTAACCTATTTGTCTTTTTTCTTTTTTCAAACAACACACTCTCTTTTACAATAAGTCTTGGAGTTGTGCAGTATCAATTATCTAACTTTGTTATTCGCCTTGAATATTTTTTGGTTATTCCGGGTTTTTTTCTGCTCCAAAGAGAATTTACAATTGGTTTGTTCATATCCAAAATAACTTGCTGAGGAAAAGTTGTTTTTGTTTTATTGTTGGATAGTATTTTGTTCCTATTGAGTTATAAACTATATGTAATTAATTTCTTCAATATAATTTTAATTTTTTTGGCTTTGCTGATTTTATTTTTATATTCCATACACCATAATGCCAATACCAAGAAAATGTATGATTTACACATTTATGTGTAGATTGTATTCTATTGTTTAAAATAGTTTTGAATAATTTTGAATGTGAGTCATGAAATAACAAGTGTTCAGGAACTTTTTCTGATAGAGAGAAGTTAAATGAGAAGCATAGAAATCCAATTGGACATATAGCAAACCTGGAGCATAGTAAAGACACTGTGAGTCAAGCAAGGAACTGAAAATAGAAAGAAAATGAGATAAGAAGAGCTCAGAGAGTTATTTCAGTTCTTTTGGCATTGTGAAAAAATAGATATTGTGAAAAGTGAGTCAAAACACCAAGAATCCATTGCTGTACCACCAATATAAATGTTCATTTTTTAAAAAATAAATGTCTACAATGTAGACTCTTTTTCCTCAATGATAATTTAAGTCCTGTGCTCATATCTGTACAACCTACCTCTGAGATGTTTTGCTGATCAAATATGTAAAAACACTATATGAAATAGTTACAAATATAAGATACCAGCAGCATTTTTCTTGATAGCCTGGAATAGTCATTAACTATATATGTTAAAGTCCAATGTGGGCCAGGCACGGTGTCTCACGTCTGTAATCCCAGCACTTTGGGAGACTGAGGCAGACAGATCACATGAGGTTGGAAGTTCGAGACCAGCCTGAGCAACATGGAGAAACCTGTCTCTACTAAAAATACAAAATTAGCTGGGCGTGGTGGTGCATGCCTGTAATTCCAGCTACCCAGGAGGGAGGCTGAGGCAGGAGAATTGCTTGAACCCAGGAGGTGGAGGTTGTGGTGAGCTGAGACTGCGCCATTGCACTCCAGGCCTGGGCAACAAGAACGAAACTCCGTCTCAAAGGAAAAAAAAAAGCCCAGTGTGACTATATTTGAAAGAAGGGCATTGATGGGAATGATTAAGATAAAATGAGGCCATAGGAGTAAGGCCCTGAATAGATAGAATTGTGTACTTATGAGAAGAGGAAGAAAGAGCACAGTTTTCTCTCTCTCCATGTGCATACACTGAGGAAAGGCTGAGAGAGGTCACAGCAGGACATCAAAACTGAATCAGCAGCATCTTGATCTTGGATTTCACAATCTTCCATATTGTGAGAAATAAATTTCTGTTGTTTAAGCTAACCAGTCTATGATATTTTGTTATGGCACCCGAACAAAGACAGTAATTAAAAAATTCCCATTTGTCTCCTACCCAAGAGTATGTTACTACATAGACCTTGTTAAGAAAAACAGACATTAAATCATTGCTACCTGCTACTCTAGACTGTGAAAACCTATCTCCCATTACTCCCACTGGCCTGGAAGGTGAACTTGTAAATACCACGATGCTTAAATTAAAGGTCATACGATCTGAAACACACCCTCCATACGTGGCAAAAATCTGTCCCCTGTTTTTATATGATGCAATATCAAAAAAATGTGTTTGGGCCAGGCATGGTGGCTCATGCCTGTAATCCCAGCACTTTGGGAGGCCAAGGCAGGTGGTTCACCTGAGGTCAGGAGTTTGAGACCAGCCTGGCCAATGTGGTGAAACCCCGTCTCTACTAAAAATACAAAAATTAGCCAGGTGTGGTGGCGGGCACCTGTAATCCCAGCTACTTGGGAGGCTAAGGCAGGAGAATCGCTTGAAACCGTGAGGCAGAGGTTGCAGTAACCCAAGAGATTGCACCATTGCACTCCAGCCTGGGCGACAAGAGTGAAACTCTGTCTCAAAAAACAGAAAATTTTCTCAACTTACTCATCTGACAAAGGGCTAATATCCGGAATCTACAATGAACTCAAACAAATTTACAAGAAAAAAACAAACAACCCCGTCAAAAAGTGGGCAAAGGACATGAACAGACACTTCTCAAAAGAAGACATTTATGCAGCCAAAAAACACATGAAAAAATGCTCATCATCACTGGCCATCACAGAAATGCAAATCAAAACCACAATGAGATACCATCTCACACCAGTTAGAATGGCAATCATTAAAAAGTCAGGAAACAACAGGTGCTGGAGAGGATGTGGAGAAATAGGAACACTTTTACACTGTTGGTGGGACTGTAAACTAGTTCAACCATTGTGGAAGTCAGTGTGGCGATTCCTCAGGGATCTAGAACTGGAAATACCATTTGACCCAGCCATCCTATTACTGGCTATATACCCAAAGGACTATAAATCCTGCTGCTATAAAGACACATGCACACATATGTTTATTGCAGCATTATTCACGATAGCAAAGATTTGGAACCAACCCAAATGTCCAACAATGATAGACTGGATTAAGAAAATGTGGCACATATACACCATGGAATACTATGCAGCCATAAAAAATGATGAGTTCATGTCCTTTGTAGGGACATGGGTGAAATTGGAAATCATCATTCTCAGTAAACTATCGCAAGAACAAAAAACCAGACACCACATATTCTCACTCATAGGTGGGAATTGAACAATGAGATCACATGGACACAGGAAGGGGAATATCACACTCTGGGGACTGTTGTGGGGTGGGGCGAGCGGGGAGGGATAGCATTGGGAGATATACCTAATGCTAGATGACGAGTTAGTGGGTGCAGCGCACCAGCATGGCACATGTATACATATGTAACTAACCTGCACAATGTGCACATGTACCCTAAAACTTAAAGTATAATAATAATAAAATATATATATATGTTTATGTATAGACTTGTAGTAATAAGATTCTCAATATCATATACTCTTTCTTTTGCTGAATTTCCTAGTGTTAGAGGAACAATGAAGGATTTTAGGCCTCTATTTTTGTCCCTTGTAAGAAATAGAAATTGATTCTGGTACACTTAAGTAAACAGAAATTCATGGAAAGATAACTGAGGAAGTTGATAAACTAATAAAAATCAAGGCATTTGGGAGACCAAGAAACAGCAAGTTCCAACATAATCTTATAGCATTAAGACTTCACAGGACGCTTTTATCTTTACCAATGTCATTACCTATTATTTATTCGTGTATTAACAAATATCTTTTGGGGAAATACTACATACTGGTGACTTTTCTTGGTACTGGGGATACATCAGTGAAGAAGGAACTTTTATACTAGTAAAGGAGTCCACAATAAATAAATAAATTTGTGGTTTATACAATTTCAGCTTATGGAGAAACAGAGTGTCGGGCAGGTAGGGGAGTTTTAAATAAAATAGTCAGAAATGACATACCAAAACTCCTACATGTAGAGTATTTCTAACTAATCAGCATTAAGTCATGGGACTGTTCCATAAAAGGACAACAGTGAGTAAAGGAAGAACTGGCCTCTTCAGTTTATGCACTTGGAGATTTTAATCTTTCACCAACATTAACCACCAAATGAAACAAATAAGCATGTAGAAAATAAGAAAGAATATACTCAACCAAATATATGTCAAATGTACATTATGCCTGGACAATCTGTTGCATTTCCTAAATTAGATAATATATTGAGAGTAATATAATCAACTTTTAGAATCCATATGCTTTCTCAAAACCAGCTATAGAGACTGAAGGCAACTCAGTAGCAAGATACCCATGAGTATATTGCAATACTCTTTGTCAGATACTTTTATCAAGTCCATTTAAAAAGAACTTATGGAATACTTTGTGCAAAGCATTGGACATTTTTTTTTTTTGAGACGGAGTCTCGCTCTGTCGCCCAGGCTGGACTGCGGACTGCAGTGGCGCAATCTCGGCTCACTGCAAGCTCCGCTTCCCGGGTTCACGCCATTCTCCTGCCTCAGCCTCCCCAGTAGCTGGGACTACAGGCGCCCGCCACCGCGCCCGGCTAATTTTTTTTTGTATTTTTAGTAGAGACGGGGTTTCACCTTGTTAGCCAGGATGGTCTCGATCTCCTGACCTCATGATCCACCCGCCTCGGCCTCCCAAAGTGCTGGGATTACAGGCGTGAGCCACCGCGCCCAGCCGCATTGGACATTTTATACCACTCTGTTCAACAACTTCCAGAGAGGCAGGATATTTAGGTATATTTAATATAATGAACATTGATGCTCAATTTTTCTGAATAAGTCAATTCTAATGAAAATTTAGAAATCTGGATGATATCACCTTATAGATAAAAATAACCAGTAAATACAAAACAAGGCTTATTATGCATGCTGAATGAGTCTTACTTTAGTTTTTAAAATGGTACTGATATGCAACAGAGTTAGGCATTTATCCCAATAATCTTGTACTTTTTTTCAAATAAATGTTTGCATATAAATTGCTTTGAAGACTATCTTACCAACTAAGAAGGCAAGAAGACTGAATTAATTTTAATCCTACTTGAGCTTTGCAGGTCTAAAGTTTACTACTAAAGCAGGATCTTTTGAAAACTTGCGATTTTGTGAATACAGTTATTCTCAGTTCTTAGGCTTTAAAACTTTTACCAGCGTTAGTACCACAGAATAATATGCACTCTAAATTTAATCTTCCTTTGTATGTACTGCTCTCTTTCCCTAGGAAACATATTGCCATAAATTCTGCGGTTTTGAGAGACATAATACTCTGTTAATGGTTTCATGTTCTGCCAAACGAAATAAGGGCCTCCAATATTACTTGTGTCAAATGTAAAAAACTAGCATTTTGAGACTGACTATTTCAAAATGAGTGATACTGCTAATAGTAATAAAAGTTTTAAAATAGCTTGTTTACTTTGTTTTAAAAAACTCAAATTTTCTTAAGTCTTCATACTCTTCTATATTACATCATAAAGTTAAAAATAAGACTATATTTCCTCTGCAAATATTGCTTGAATTTTGTTTAAAATACTTACATACTTCCTTTAGAATAAAAAGAATGAATTTGATATCTCTGAGGAAAAAATTACATAAGTAATCGTAAGAATTAATATTTGCACAGTACCCATACTTCCTAAAGCA
This sequence comes from Homo sapiens, assembly GCF_000001405.40. NCBI lineage: Eukaryota > Metazoa > Chordata > Mammalia > Primates > Hominidae > Homo > Homo sapiens. The sequence goes on from NC_000011.10 coordinate 98,607,500, forward strand.
TTTCACACATTTTATCTTACTTGATCCTCACAGTAATCCTGTGAGGGAACTATTAAAGTGAGTCTCTATAATCCCAAAAATACAGATTATAAGATTAAGGATTATAAATAATTTGTCAAGGCTCTCAAAGCTAGTAACTGATATTATTCTTTTTTCATTTTTATTTTTTTCTTTCTGTTTAAAAATAATCCTAAAAAGTATTGCTTAGTCCATGTGTTTTAAATTAAGATAATATTAACCTGGTTTATAGGTGAAGGAAATATTGAATTCTCCCTTCAGAATCTGTGCCCTTAACAATTTACTGTTTTATTATGCACGTATAGTAAGACACAAAGACAAATTTTTGAAGACAAAATTCTCTATAAAATATCAGGTGGTTTTCCTCAAGGTTCAAGCCGGTTGTGATTAAATAACCACAGCCAAGTAATGCACATATACCCACTGATCAAAATGCAAACTGTTCCTGATAATTTATAGAATCTGCCACTACAGTAACATGAAATTAGTTATCAAGTATAGCATCATTTGTATTTCTGAATTCTCACATATTATTGCTTAAAAATAAACTTTATAATTTTAAACAACAGTATCTTTAACTTTACCTCATGCATTCAACTACTACAGTGAATACAAATATAAGAGCTATATATATTTGTGAATGTTTAGTCCAAATTTAGGCCTACTTTACTAATCAAAGATTTAAAAGTTTGATAAACTTGAAAGGAGTTGGAACCATGAGTAAGAACGTGAATTGTTATAGAAAAAATAATTAAATAACAGAAGAAAGATTAAATCCACTGTGAGGTGAAAGTAAACTTTGAGAGTAATAGAATGAACAATCTTAAAAAATAATAATAACAAACTGACAAGAGAAAAAAATACCCTAAAAGTATCAAATACAAGTATCAGTACTAGTACTAATCAGCAACCTCTCGTGACGAAAGAAGAGCCTGGCATAAGACATGCATTTTACAGATGGTAGAACTCCAATGCATGGGAGAGTGAATAAGACATAAGTGTATCAAATATATACAGAAATAGTATTGCTAAGATTTCACTCAACCCATGAAATGAGATTTCTGCTCCAATGCAAGAACCACTACAGGTTATTTTCATGATAGAGAAAAAAAAATGACAGGGGATGTGAATAAAAAAACAAATCATTAAGTAAGTTTAGATCAACAGACACCAAAATTATTTCAATTTTTTCTGATTTATCGCAAAAATCCATTTTTTGATTTTTAAAATTATTAGATATGTTAAAATGTTTCTGAAAATAAAAAGTTGGCAGTTGTTTTTATAATACAATTTATAAATGAATGAAATGGATCAATATTTGAGTAATAATCTCTAGATTTACATATTACACAATTAAACCCACCATTAAATAATAAAACTTACATAGAATCAGCCAAAATATCTACTAGATAAGTTCTTAGACCATTTTATTATAGCTCATGTATTTTAGAAATCTCTTAATTTTTTTTTTTTTTTTTACTTACTTAAAAAATGTTTCGGAAAAAAAATAGAAGAAATAAAATACAAATGTCCCAAAATCCAATCATACATAAATAACCTCACTGACAACAACTTTCTTTGTATTTCTCACTTTCCATCTGTACACACACAAACACACACACAGACACACACACTCACACTCATACAGAGACACATACAGAAATTGTGTCTGTAAAATTTTTCAATAATTTAATTCTCTAATACTTATCTGTGCTGCTTTCTACAGATTCTGAGTGGTTTTGCCACTCCTTACATTTGGCCTAAATGATTACATACTTGTGGTTTAGGTTTGTTTGTATTCATTTTTCTTTTAATAGGAGGAAGTTTTGTTATAATATTTTAGTTGTAATAAAATATATTATTAACTTTACAGTTTGAGTGCTTCTCCTACTTTGAAAGCTTTCCCCAAACCAAAATTATCTTATTTTCTCTAAACATTCATGCAAAGAAATGTTGCTTAAAATTTAATCTATATGAAAATTATTTTTGTATATAGCATGAGAACAGAGATCAATTTTATTGTTTTCATTATTTATGAAATAAACCATTATTTCTCAGTACATTGAAATAATACTATTTTCACATCTCAAATTCAAATATATACTATCATCTATTTTGACATATTGTTTTGCACTGAACTCTGTGGAATTTTTTTTAAAAATCAGGCCGGGAGCAGTGGCTCACGCCTGTAATCCCAGTACTTTGGGAGGCCGAGGTGGGCAGATTACGAGGTCAGGAGATCGAGACCATCCTGGCTAACACAGTGAAACCCTGTCTCCAGTAAAAATACAAAAAATTAGCTGGGCATGGTGGCAGGCGCCTGTAGTCCCAGCTACTCCTGAGGCTGAGGCAGGAGAATGGCGTGTACCTGGGAGGCGGAGCTTGCAGTGAGCCGAGATTGAGCCACTGCACTCCAGCCTGGGCGACAGAGCGAGACTCCGTCCCCCCAAAAAAACATACCTTTGATTACCATATAATTTTAGAATATTTAATATAATCTCACACAAGTCCATTTTTATAGTAGTTGAAAAAGTTTTTTTTGTTGTTGTTGTTTTTTTTTTTTGAGACGGAGTCTCACTCTGTCACCAGGCTGGAGTGCTGTGGCGCGATCTTGATCTTGGCTCCATGCAACCTCCGACTCCCTGGTTCAAGTGATTCTCCTGCATCAGCCTCCTGAGTAGCTGGGATTACAGGCACGTGCCACCACACCTGGCTAATTTTTGTATTTTTAGTAGAGACGGAGTTTCACCATGTTGGCCAAAATGGTCTCGATTTCCTCACCTGGTGATTCGCCCGCCTCGGCCTTCCAAAGTGCTGGGATTACAGGCATGAGCCACTGCGCCCGGCCATAAGATTTTAATAATTCTCAAATATTAACTATTTTTCGTATAAAGATAAAGTACATTCTATTTTAAAGGTAGAACATATTGCATATTTTCTTAATTTCATATTATCACATACATGTGATAAGTGAGAAAATATTAATATTTTATCATGTTTTCTTTCCTTTCCATTACTGGATTATGATTTGCCATTTGTGTAGATGGTGTTTAATGTTCTTTAATATGAGTTAAAGTATTAATATACTTCAAATGTGTTTAGAATATTTTTAAAATTTAATTTTATGTGGATTTTCTTTTATTCAATTGAGTACATTGTCTTCCATTTATATGCATGACTTCCTATCTGAGGCATACAGAAATAAAACAATTTTCTTTTATTTTTGGAGGAATCTAAATATTTAATATAATTTCACATTTACAGAAAAGTTGAAACAGTGGTACATAGTACACTATGATTTTCCAGAGACAATTATCTTTGTATTCATCAGAACATTGTGTATTTCTAAGTTTATTTTTTCATAAAGTTTAAACAATTTTTCTACATTGTTCAGTTTAAAATTTTTTTTCTCTCTTTTCAGCTTCTGTGTCTGTGTCTTCAATTGCATATTTGTTAAGACTATCTGACTGTATTTCACAGGTCATTGGTACACTCTACATTTTTTAGTCTTGTTTTCTTTGTTTTTCAATTGTACAATTAATATTTATGCATTTTTCAAATTCACCAGCCATTTTTTCCATTTTCAATCTGTTAAGCCGAACTGTTGAATTTTGTATTTTATTTTTATGTAAAGGATCTATATGTGTTCATTTTTATAGTTTTCATTTCTTTGCCATCTTTTCATTTATTTTGAATATATTTTCTTTTAATTCCTTGAAGATGTTAGTATAAATATATAATATAAATATTCATATTACATATAATATTTATATTATATATTTAGATTTAAATATATAATATAAATATTCATATTACATATAATATTTATATTATATATTTAGATTTAAATATAAAATATAAATATTCATATTACATATAATATTTATATTATATATTTAGATTTAAATATATAATATAATTTATATTTGAATATATATTTATATTACATATTTATATGATGTATTTATTATATAATTAGTTATATATAATATATAATATGTATTAATTATATAATTATATATTTACAGAAAAAGAACTTTAATATATTTATCTTATATATTTATATATTACTCATTATTATTTTCCATTTCATATATAATATAAATATATATTATAAATATATTATTTAAAGTTCTTTTTCTGTAAATACGTCTGAGTAACCTTGGTGTAGATTTCTATTAACTGCTAATTAGATATATTTTTCCGTTTCTTCACAAGTCCAGTATTTTTTATCACATACTGGACATTGTCCATACTATGCTGTCAAGAGTATTGTTTTTTTTATCTTTTTCTGAAAAATATTGATTTTTGTTTCAGCTCAAAGTTAACTTTCCTGGACTAAAAGTTTAAACTCTGACATCCCTACAATGGGCAGTGAGTACAACTTTTTATTCTTTTAGCATTTCAATTATTGGTTTTTGGTAGGAAATTTGACATTTTTCTCACATATACAAAATTAATGTGTCAACCAATAAACCAATAAATTGAGCACAGTTCACATTCAAATTAGGGCTATCCTTTCTTTCTTTCTTTCTTTCTTTTTTTGAGACAGAGTCTCACTCTGTCGTCCAGGCTAGAGCACAGTGGCGTGATCTTGGCTTACTGCAACCTCTGCCTCCCAGGTTCAAGTGATTCTCCTGCCTTAGCCTCCCACATAGCTGGGATTACAGGTGCCTACCACCACGCCCGGCTAATTTTTGTATTTTTAGTAGAAGCAGAGTTTCAACATGTTGGCTAGGCTGGTCTTGAATGCCTGACCTCAGGTGATCCATCCACCTTGGCCTCCCAAAGTGCTAGGATTACTGGCTTGAGCCACCATGCCCAGGCAAGGCTATCCTTTCTATAGCTTCATTTTCCAGGATTTTATTCTTTCTGTCCAAGCTGCTTCTGAATGCCTATACTCTGTACCATAACTTCCCAAGCAAGTTATACTGTGACTTTCTGCTTAAGTCCAATCCACACTCTTTCAAATGAAGAATGTCTCCAGGTAAAAAGCCATAACCACAGGAATTTTATCTAGTAAAGTTTAATACCTTCAGAAGATATGGAAACCTAAACAAGGTAATTTAACATAGATATTACAAATATGTATCAAACTTTACATATCAAAAATAGAAAATATACCAGTTTCTCAAGCAAACATGGGATATTTCAACAAGTGATCAAATATTTGATCACAACATAAACATCAGTAAAGAGAGAGTTATTGCAAATAAATTGTTAAAAACATTACAAGCAGCACTCATCACAATGCGTAAAATAGAAATTAGTAACAAAATCTAAACCAAAATCTCTTCTAACTAGAAATTAAAACTAAAAATATTTTTGTAGAAAACCTTGTAGTATAAAATACTTGGATACAAAGAAAAATAGAATCCAATATTACAGAAGTTGTAAAATACAATTATCAGTAATTACATGCTGCTCTTTATTATTATTTTCCATTTCATCATTAAGGTTTTTCTTCTCAGGTAAATTGTAAATATTTAAGGTTAGAAAAAATATATGTGATTATTTTGAAATTCCCTTCTCTACCTTACATTCATTCTGTCTCAGGCTTGCCTGTAATAAGTATTAGAATGCATCTATTAAATTTAAAGAAATATCTACAAGTGGAATCCCTGGGTCATGTGGTTGTTCTGTTTTTAAATTTTAAAGTAACTTCCATAATTTCATTGTGATAATCATTTCACAGTTGTATTTATATCAAATCCTCACACCGTACACCTTAAATATATATAATTTTTGTCAATTATATTTCAATAGAACTGTAAAAAAAGGAAATATCTCCAGTGAACAACTGACAACTACTGACCAGTCTTTTCTTAATTATTAGCTCTTAGCTAAGAGCATTACTTTATCTCAAAGATGGAATTACACTTATTTTAAGAATTTTTTTTTTCATTTTCTCATTCCCCGGTATGAGTCTGCACAATTACATAACCTTCCAAACTCTTTTTTTTTTCTTTTTCATGTTTCAGAATCAAGTTCTCACTCTTGCCCAGGCTGGAGTGCGGTGGTGTGATTGTTTCACTGCAGCCTCAAACTCCTGGACTTAAGCAGTCTTCCTGCCTCAGGCTCCTAAGTAGCTGACTATAGGCATAAGTCACCACACCCACCTAATTTTTAAAATTACTTTTGGTATGGATGGGGGTCTCTCTATGTTACTCAGGCTGATCTTGAACCCTTCAAGCTATCTTCCCACTCCACCCTCTCCAAAATGCTTACAAGTTCTTATTAACTTTTCCTGTTTTACTTCATATTTTACTAATCTGAGTAACACTCTATTCTTAGGATTATCTGTGTAACCTCTATATTAACTCAAATTCTAGTCTAAATTTCATTTTCTATCCTTTGTTTTTTATCTGGAAAGTATATATGACAATAATTTCTTGTCTGAATAATTACTAATCTGCATATTGTTCTTTATAATTTACAAATCACTAAAATCCTTAAAGTATTTTTATGTATATTTTACAAAAAATGAAAGATATTGAAATGTAATAACCCTTTAAGTGAATTGACTACTTCACAGTGACAGTATGTTGCTGATCTAAAACCTTAAGCAAGGTTTTGCCTGTCAGATTTTTTTTTCTTTTCTCTTTTTCTTTTTTTTTTTTTTTGAGACAGAGTCTCGCTCTGTCACCCAGGCTGGAGTTCAGTGGCGCGATCTTGGCTCACTGCAATCTCTGTCTCCCGGGTTCAAGTGATACTCCTGCCTTGGCCTCCCAAGTAGCTGGAACTACAGGCTCATGCCACCATGCCAAGCTAATATTTGTATTTTTAGTAGTAACGGGGTTTCACTGTGTTATCCAGGATGGTCTCGATCTCCTGACCTCATGATCCGCCCACTTCGGCCTTCCAGAGTGCTGGGATTACAGGTGTGAGCCACTGCGCCTGGCAGCCTGTCAGATTTAATGCTGTTTTTCACACAATGCAGGATTACTTGTGAATTAATCTGTAAAGTTTGAACATATTTGTTCCCCAATATCATAATGGCAAATAAAAAATATTTCAATACCAATAATGGTGATCTATTTCACTAGATAGTCATGCGGAATAACAAGAATTCATAAGGAAGCTGATGAGAATTGGGGAAACAATTGTGACCCTAAACTTTGCAAGAGCCTAACAGAGAACATAGTCCTTATATCCCAGTTTCAAAAGAAGTCTTGTCTAACTTACAGAGATCATCTACTGTAAACCTGTTAAAGCTTTAAAATCAAACCAATACTCATTTATTTTACCTCACATGTCTTCACAGCTCCTTCTACTTGATATATTTCTTTTACACTAAGTTAATTAATTCTAATATTCTTAATATTTATAATTATTTTTCTCATAGTGATATTGCTTCCATGTGAATTATTTTAAATATGATTCCTTAAAGAATTCTTCCAATTACATATGTATTTCCAGTGATGTTACCTTTATGTAAGATAAGCGAGAATAGTTACGTCAAAAATTTTTATTTTTGCTGCCACAAGTAGAATTAATAAATTTGCTTTTAATTAGATTTATTATCTCTAAGGTTATGTATGTTTCAATCATTCAAAATTACTTTGCAGTTAAAATAAGAATAATATCTGTGGACAGTTGTCATTTGAAACAAAGAGGTAAGCTAGATAGAAAGGCAGAGAGCTATGAAAATCCTCAAGGGCTTCTGAGCTGACTTTTTTTCTTTAGTGGGTGGCTGGTTATAATTTATACTTTAGAACTATTCAAATTAAACAACAAAATTTAACTTGTTTCATATTTGCACTGATTTTATATTTGTAATAAGTATTTTCTTTTTTTAATGGTCTGGCTGGATATATCAATTATAATCAGTTCCACTATACATAACTGGAAATGATATGGAATGAGTCATTTGCAATTACAGGTTTGCCAAATACTATTAATATTCACTTCGCAAAAACCATCTTCAATTGTTGAAAGGTTTCCCTAAGAGAAGGCCCTATTCCTTTTCAGAACATGCATAGCTACTCCTTTCATGTGAGACTAAAGAGGTGCAGATAGATGAGAGAAACTGTCCTGAGTCTCAACAACCCAGTGACTGGAAAACGTGGACACTAAATTTTATTTCATTATCGTTACACACTGTCTTTGAAAATTTTATTACAGAAGAGTGACTCTCTCCCCCATGTGAGGTAGAAGGAGCTTGCAGTGATAAGATAACTAACGAATTTTTTAGTTTTTTTTTTGAGACGGAGTCTTGCTCTGTCGCCAGGCTGGAGTGCAGTTGCGTGATCTCAGCTCACTGAAACCTCTACCTCCTTGGTTCAAGCGATTCTCGTGCCTCAGCCACCCCAGTAGCTGGGATTACAGGCACGTGCCACGACGCCCAGCTAATTTTGTATTTTTAGTAAAGACAGGGTTTCACCATGTTGGCCAGGATGGGCTTGATCTCTTGACCTTGTGATTCACCTGCCTCGGCCTCCCAAAGTGCTGGGATTACAGGAGTGAGCCACCGCACCCAGCCAATAACTAATGATTTCTAGCAGACAAATTATAACAAGGAGAACAACAGAACAAACACAGAACACTAAGAATAAATAAATGTACTTTAACTAATACCAAAGGAAAGGTATACTTTGGAATTGAGGGGGAAAAAAAACCTCATGGTTTGCACAGGTGAAGAGGCATAAAATCAGAGAGAAGCAAACAAACAAAAAAGAGGACTAATGAAAGAAAATTCAAAGAAGAAAGAAGAACACCAGATGGCAGAGCAAAAGGAAGACAGCCAACACTATTTCAAGGAAAACAAACAGATCCCAAAAGTAAAGTGAATTCAAGTAAATGAGCACAGCAGGGAAGAAAGAACAAAGTACTATATGAGGGGAACTTAGGTTAAAACATAGTGGAATTGCAGCTTTCTGTACTTGGCTTTCTGAGCTGATTGTGCAACAAATAGAATACTATGTTAGATTAGTTTAATGAGTAAGCTCCTTGGGATTTATGAGTAAATGTGTCAACAGGAGTGCAAATATAATTAACTTGCTTAAATATGTTAGCATAAACCCAAGGATATCTGTGACTGACAGCAAGTGCCTAAATCTAAGATGATTTCCCCTCTAATGAGAGTTCAATTATAGATGGAAAGAAACTTGCTTTCTTTGTCTCACATGAGCAACACAAGTCTCTTTAAAGAATGATGCAATTGGAGTAGTAGCAAACCTGGGACCTGTCAAACATGGTATATTCATTTTAGGTGAAGTTGATTTAAACTTTAAAAAAAATACAATTACTACTAATTTAGTGATTTTAGGAATGGGAGTACAAGCTTGTAATAAGCATTCCATGGGAAAGCATTATAAAGTAGTGTTTGAAAAGGAGCAGATGTAATCAAATAGGATCATTTTTATAATGTAATATTTGAAAACCCATGATCATAAAAATATACAGTATATAATGGCGTATTAGTCTGTTCTTACAATGTTATAAAGAACCACCTGAAACTGGGTGATTTATAAAGAAAATAGGTTTAATTGACTCACAGTTCCAATGGCTGTACAGGAGGCATGGCTGGAGAGGCGTCAGTAAACTTACAATCATGGTGAAAGGGAGAAGTATAAGCAAGCAGGTATTCAAATGGCAGCAGATGAGGGAGAGAAAGAAAAGGAGGAAGGACCACACATATTTAAACCAACAGATATCTTGAGAACTTAATAAACCTCACAAGAACAGTAAAGGGTAAGTCCTCCCCCATGATCAAATCACCTCCCACCGGGTCCCTGCCCCAGCATTGGGAATTACATTTCAACATGAGATTTGGGTGGGGACATAGAGCCAAACCATATCATTCTGTCTATGGCTCCTCCCAAATCTCATGTTCTTCTCATGTTTCAAAAGACAAATTATGCCTTCCCAACAGTCCCCCAAAATCATAACTCATTCCAGCATTCACTCAAAAGTCCAAGTCCAAAGTCTCATCTGAGACAAGTCCCCTCTGCCTATGAGCCTGTAAAATCAAAAACAAGTTAATTACTTCCAAGAAACAATGCAGGTACAGTCATTGGGTAAGTGGTCCTATTTAAAATGAGAGAAATTGGCCAAAACAAAGGGGCTATAGGCCCCATGCATGTCCAAAACCCAGAAGGGCAGTAACTAAATATTAAAGCTCCAAAATAATCTCCTTTGACTCAATTGCTCACACTCAGGGCACACTGATGCAAGGGGTGGGCTTCCAAGGCTTTGGGCAGCTCCTACCCCATGGCTTTGCACAGTACAGTCCTCACAACTTCTTTCATGGGCTGGTATTGAGTGCCTGCAGCTTTTCCAGGTGCATGCCACAGGCTTTGGGTCAGTCTACAGTTCTGGGGTCTAGAGGACAGTGGCCCTCTTCTCACAGCTCCACTAGGAAGTGCCCCAGTGGGGACACTGTCGGGGGGCCTCCAACCCCACTGTTCCCCTCTGCATTGTCTTAGTAGAGGTTCTCCATGAGGGCTTCGCCCCTGCAGCAGACTTGTGCTGGACATTCAGGTGTTTCCATATATCCTCTGAAATCTAGGCAGAGGCTCCAAATATCAATTATTGCCTTTTGTGCACCTGCAGGACCAACACCACATGGAAGTTGCCAAAGCTTGAAGCTTGCCCCTCTGAAGCAATGGCCCAAGTTTTATGTTGGCCCCTTTTAGCCACAGCTGGAGCTGAAGTGTCTGGAATGCAGGGTACCATGTCCTGAGGCTGCACAGAGCAGTGGGGCCCTGGGCCTGGCCCACAAAACCATTTTTCCCTCCTAAGCCTCTGGGCCTGTGGTGGGAGGGGGTAGCAATGAAGGTCTCTGAAATACCTTGGAGGCATTTTCCCCATTGTCTTGGCTGTTAACATTTGGCTCTTCTTTACTTATGCAAATTTCTGCAGCCTTGAATTCCTTCCCCCAAAATGGCTGTTTCTTTTCTACCCCATGATCAGGCTGCAAATTTTCCGAACTTTTATGCTCTGCTTCCCTTTTAAAGATAAATTCTCTTTGCTTATGCAGATGATTGTAGGCTTTTAGAATTAACAAAACCACTTCTTGAACATGTTGCTGCTTAGAAATTTCTTCCACCAGATCCCCTAAATCATTTCTCTCAAGCTTAAAGTTCCACAGATCCCTAGAGCAAAGGCACAATCCTGCCAGTCTCTTTGGTAAAGCTAAAGCAAGACTGACCTTTACTCAGTTTCCTAATAAGTTCCTCATCTTTATGTGAGACCACCTCAGCCTGGATGTCATTGTCCATGTCACTATCAGCATTTTGGTCACAACCACTCAACAAGTCTCTAGGAAGTTCCAAACCTTCCCTCATCTTCCTGTTTTCTTCTGAGCCCTCCAAACTGTCCCAACCTCTGCCTGTTCATCAGTTTCAAAGTTGCTTCCATATTTTTCAGCATCTTTTTAGCGGTGCTCCATTTACCTGATACTAGTTTTCTATATTACTCTGTTCTCACAATGCTATAAAGAACTACCAAAGACTGAGTAATGTATAAAGAAAAGTGGTTTAATTGACTCATAGTTCCACAGGCAGTACAGGAGGCATGTCTGGGAGGCCTCAGGAAACTTACAGTTATGGTGGAAGCATGAAGGGGAAGCAAGCACATCTTCACATGGTGGCAGGAGAGAAAGAGAACAAAGCAGGAAGTGCCACACACTTTTAAACCATCAGAACTAATGAGAACTCACTCACTATCACAAGAACAGCAAGGGATAAATCTGCCCCCATGCTCCAGTCACCTCTGATAGAGTTTGGCTCTGTGTCCCCACCCAGATCACATCTTCTAGCTCCCACAATTCTCACGTGTTGTGGGAGGGACCTGGTAGGAGATAACTGAATCATGAGGATGGGACTTTCCCATGCTGTTCTCATGATAGTGAATAAGTCTCATGAAATGTGATGGTTTTTAAAACAGGAGTCTCCCTCCACAAGCTCTTTTTCTTTGCCTGCTGTCATCCATGTAAGACAAGACTTGCTTTTCCTTGCCTTGCACCATGATTCTGAGGCCTCTCCAGCCTCGTGGTACTGTAAGTCCATTAAACCTCTTTCTTTTGTAAATTGCCCAGTCTTGGGTATGTCTTTAACAGCAATGAAAGTGGACTAATACAGTAAATTGGTACCAGTAGAGTGGGGTGCTGCTGAAAAGATACTGAAAATGTGGAAGTGATTTTGGAACTGAGTAGCAGGCAGGGGTTGAAACAGTTTTGAGGGCTCAGAAGAAGACAGGAAAAGGTGAAAAAGGTTGGAACCCCCTACAGACTTGTTGAATGGCTTTGATGAACATGCTGATAATGATATAGACAATGAAATCCAGGCTGAGGCGGTCTCAGATGGAGATGAGGAACTTGGGAACTGGAGTAAAGGTGTCCCTTGTTATGTTTTAGCAAAGAGACTGGTGGCATTTTTCCCCTGCCCTAGAGATTTGTGGAACTTTGAACTTGAGAGAGATTATTTAGGGTATCTGGCAGAAGAAATTTCTAAGCAGCAAAGCATTCAGGAGTTGACTTGGTGCTGTTAAAGACATTCAGTTTTATGAAGGAAGCAGAGCAAAAAAGTTCAGAAAATTTGCATCTTGGCAATTTGATAGAAAAGAAAAACCCATTTTCTGAGGAGAAATTCAAGCCCGCTGCAGAAATTTGCATAAGAAACAAGGAATGGAATGTTAATCCCCAAGACAATAAGCAAAATGCCTCCAGGGTATGTTAGAGGTCTTCATGGCAACCCCTCCCATCACAGGCCTGGAGGCCTACAAGGAAAAAATGGTTTCATGGGCCAGGCGCAGAGTCTCTGTGCTGTGTGCAGCGTAGGAACTTGGTGCCCTGTGTCCCAGTCACTCCAGCCATGGCTGAAAGGGGCCAATGTAGAGCTTGGACCATGGCTCCAGAGGGTGCAAACTCCAAGCTTTGGCAGTTTCCATGTGCTGTTGAGCCTGTTAGTGCACAGGAGTCAAGAACTGGGGTTTGGGAACCTCTGCCTAGATTTCAGAGGATGAATGGAAATGCCTGGATGCCCAGGCAGAAGTTGGCTGCAGGAGCAGGGCCCTTATGGAGCACCTCTGCTAGGGTCATGCAGAAGGAAAATGTAGGATTGGATCCCCAACAAAGAGTCCTTATTGGGCACTGCCTAGTGGAGCTGTGAGAAGAGGGCCACCATGCTCCAGAGCCCAGAATGGTAGATTCACTGACAGCTTGCACTGTGCACCTGGAAAAGCTGCAGACACTCAGCGGTAGCCCATGAAAGCAGCTGAGAGGGCTGCCGTACCCTGCAAAGCTGCAAGGGCGGAGCTGCCCGAGACCATGGGAACCCACCTCTTGCATCAGCTTGACCTGGATGTAGGACATATAGTCAAAGGAATTTAGATTTTTATCCCATTTATTTATTATTTTATCCCATTTTATTTAGACAATTTATCCCATTCAGATCAGCTGTATATACCAAATTCCTGTACCCCCATTGTATCTAGCAAGTAACTAACTTGCTTTTGATCTTACAGGCTTATAGACAGAATGGACTTGACTTGTCTCAGATGAGATTTTGGACTGTGGACTTTTGAGTTAACGTTGGAATGAGTTAAGACTTTGGGGGACTGTTGGATGGTATGATTGGTTTTGAAATGTGAAGACTTGAGATTTGCAAGAGGCAAGGCATGGAATGATATTGTTTGGCTCTGTATCCCCACCCTAATCTCATCTTGTAGGTTCCTTAATGCCTACATAATTCCCTTCCTGTTGTGGGAAGGGACCCTGTGGGAGATAATTGAATCATGGGGGCAGGTCATTCCCATACTGTTCTCATGATAGTGAATAAGTTTTATGAAATGTGATGGTTTTAAAATTGGGAGTTTCCCTGCACAAGCTCTCTCTCTTTGCCTGCTGCCATCTGTAGAAGACATGACTTGCTCCTCCTTGCCTTCCACCATGATTGTGAGGCATCCCCAGCCACATGGAACTGTAGGTCCATTAAACCTCTTTCTTTTGTAAATTGCCCAGGTAGCAAACTTAAAAGTTATTTACAACCAACCACTTAAATTAAAATGGAAGAGGAACTTATAATTTTCTAATATTTACTATAAATGCAATAACTCAACATGCCAAATAAATTTTTGGATCTACCTTATTAGTGAATTAGATTAGAATGGATAAGAATCACACAATAGAAAAAAATAGGCTCTCCAAATTCCTCTGTTTTCACTTAGTAGTTTTGGGCAAGTAATTGCTAAATAAACAGTAGTTGTTTATGTTTTTAATAGTAATTTGTTTTATGTATATAAAGATGCTTGTATTAGTTTTCTATCACTGTATAACACATTAGTGGCTTAAAACAATACAGTTATGTACATCACATATTCAGGCATGACTCAAATAATTTTTAGGCTCAGGATTTCAAAAGGTTAAATTTAAGGTGTCAGCTAGGCTAAATTCTCTTATGGAAGCTTAGTTAGGAAAGAATCCATTTCTAAGTGCATTTACATTGTTGGCAGAATTCAGTTCCTTAAGGTAACATCCAGGTCCATGATTTATTTGAGTCAATTTTTGTGAAGGGTATAAGGTCTGTGTCTCTCCCTTCCCTTCCCTTCCCTCCCCCCCTCCTCTCCCTCCCCTCCTCCTTTCCTCCCTTCCCCCCTTCCCTCCCCTCCCCTTCTTCCTCTTCCCCTTTTCCCCCCTTCCCCTTCCCCTTCCTTCCCTTTTCTTCCCTTCCCTTATCCCTTCCTTCGTTTCTTCTTTTCTTCTCTCCTTCTTTCCCTCCTCCCTCTCTTCCTCCCACCATTCTTTCTTTTTTTTTTTTTTTTTGGGCATGTGGATATCCTGTTGTTCCAGCACCATCTGTTGAAAAGACAATGTTTTTTTCCCAATTATTATTATTTTAAATTTTTAAATTTCTATTTGGCTTTTTCTTATAACTTCAATTTCTTTGTGAAAACTTTATATTTTTACCTGTCATTCAAGGGAATTCATAATTACCTATTGAAGCAGTTTGTAATGTCTTCTTTAAAATCTTTGTCAGCAAGTTTCAATATCTGATTCATCTCAGTATTGGCATCTGTTGAATAAGATTAAGTTGTAATCTTACTTATTCATGATATAATGAGTCATTTTTATTGTATTCTCTGTCATTTTGAATATTATGTTGGGATACTCCTCATACTGTTTAATTCTATTTTAGAATCTAACCTTTTTGTTTAGATTTAGCTTGTAGCTTGTGACCTACTAGTGTGGACTGCAGTTCCAATAAAAAAATTAGTTTTCTGAGCCTCTGAAATGCTATTCTTGTCTGCTTCATTCTTCCAACTGTGTCAAATTCTTGCTAGATCCCTGCTGGTGCCATCTACAGAGACAGAAGACAATTATTAGCCACCCAGTGCCATTATGTGGGTTTGGGGAATTTGGACCCTTGGACCCATGGATGAAAAGCATTCACTCTGGCCTGTTTTTTGACCACCTATTGTAGGGGGTGTTCCCACTCTGTGTCTGCTGATGCCAACATAGGAGAGAAGTGCCTATTTAGGCCACCTTTTGCCACTTGGTAAAGGGCTGAGATATGCTGACCCTGAGTTCCCTTCTACTATTTATCAAAGAGCTGGAAGACTCCTGGTGTTGATCTTTTGCTGCTTCTAAGTAGAGGACAATATGTTTTCAAGTTTGGCTGGCTCTATGCTATTGGCTGGAAGATTGTGAAACTCGCGTCATAGATCCTCTGCTGTTGGGTAGAGGACAGGTACCTGCAGGCTTGCTGGTGCCACCAGTGTAGGCAGATGGGCTCCTCTTGCTTACTAAGTTTATGGGACAAAAGTTGGGTAAGACTGTCTGGGTCCTGGTTGCCACTGCTGCGGGTGAATTGGGACTGCTACTGCGAGTGGTTGTGGGAAGGAAATGTGCTGGCTGCCAAGGTTCATTTATGCCATTGCTGTTGAAATGGAAAAGTTCCCTTGTCTCCCTCTCAGGGTATGTGATGGCAGTGTGGCTCACTTATTCGATGCCCCACTGCTCAAAAACCCTAGGGCGAGCAGGCAGACAAGCAGGTCATGGGGAGCATGAGCTCTGACCCCACAGCAGCATCTAGGGTTGAGTGTTTACAGCTCCTGAAGCCCCATTAGGAATGTGTTACAGTGCGCCCTTTCAGTTTAGCCATCTGCAGATGACTTGTGTTAATCAGCTCAATTAGACTATGTGCCTTATTCCAAGGACAGAGGGCTTTCTGTATCTTGGGTTCTTCCTTAGTGAACCGATAAAATCGGATCGCACATGGGTTTGGAGAATGAGTGCAAGGTTTTATTGAGTGGAGGTAGCTTTCAGCAAGGTGAATGGGGAGGCCAGAAAGGGGATAGAGTGGGAAGGTGGTTTTTCCTTGGAGTCAGGCTGCCCAGTAGCCAGACTCTCTTCTGACCACCCCCGGCTGAATTCCACATTGTCTGCATCATTCTGCCATCGATGGCTTGCCGGAGTCTGTAGGTGTGTTCTGCTGATGTGTTCTTCTGCTCCTCTGCTTCTCTTGATGTCCAGCTGCTTGTGTCTGCCTACTAGGGTCTCAGGGTTTTTATAGGTACAGTATGGGGGCGTGGCAGGCCAGAGTGGTCTTGGAAAATGCAACATTTGGGCATGAAAACAGGAGTGGCTGTCCTCTCCTAGGTCTGTGGGAACAGGCCTGAGGGTGGACCCCTAGCCAGGAGCCCCACCTTTCTCTACCTAGAACTTCCCTGCCCTCTCCCGTATCACTGAAAGATTGGCCTGCTGCTGCCAATAGATGTGAAGGAGGGATGGGTTAGCACCCATTCCTCTGCTAGCATTGCTGTGGCTGGGCTTTCCCTTTCATAGGACTTTTAGTCAGAGAACTTAGACATTTCTTCTCTCCCTCTCTCCTTCTCTCTTTCCCTCTTTCTTTAGGGGACTGTGTGTGTCGGGGTGTCTATACCTACTAGTATTTCTGGATTGTCATTCCCCTTGTTGCCCATATTGTCCAGCCTGGATATTTAGGAGATAAAGATAAAACCAAGATAACTCATCATGTCTTTCTTCAGGTACTGAGACCTTAGACAGTAGACTTTTAAACCTTTCGGATTCCATTTATGACTGTCTATTTAATTAAGTAAAATTTTTTCAGGTTATTTAGTTGTACTTAGAGGGGAAAAGCTGGTAAACATAAGTTTATGCCATTATATCCCAAAAGATAAGCTGGTGCTTTCGTAAAATTGAAAAAAAAATCTTTTAATACCTTTTATTACCTAACGCTTAAGATACTAGAAATTTCTCCTATATGAGATGTTAATGATACACAGTATGTGGGTAAAATGTACAAAATTAGTGAGCTTTTTTCCTCCTTTTTAAACTAAAAATATCTTTTTAGCCAGATGGTCTTAAAACAAAAGGTACTTGAGATAACCTTACCTTTCTTCAAATTAATCTTTATATTTTCAATTTTTTTTAATTCACAAAAGAAAAAAATAGGGGATTTATTTTAAAGTTAGGCTTAGTCATTTAAAAATTAAATAGATGTAAATTAGTAGTAATAATTTGTGATAATGTAAAACACTGAAAATGCTAAAATACGCAATTTGAAGAAAAATACAGATTGAGATAAAATTTTGTAAAAGAGTTTTAAAAACTTACTGAATATCAAGTTTAGTTACTGAGTAGCATGTCTATAACATTACCAATTACAGACATAGAAGTTAAAATTGTTACACACGTTGGTTTAAGGAGACTAAGAGAAATACAGTGTTATATCTAGGAAGTGTAAAGAAGACATTAGTAGAAAAGTGGAGAAACCTAAATAATATCTAAGGTTTAATTAGTAGTAGTTGACCAATGTGCTGTTGTTATGTAAGATGTGAACATTAGAAGAGGGTAGGGACACAGTATATATGAAAACAGTCTGGACTATTTTCTAACTCTTTTTACTTTCTAAAATTATTTCAAAATAATGAGCTTAATAAACTAAAAAGTCTTTAGTAGGATATTAGTTTCCTTCTTATATTACTGATTTTATTTTGTATTACAAATCTTAAAAAGAATGAATGAATAAGTTCTGGTATAAAATTTATTTTTATTATGGATAAGAAGAAAACAGCTCACATATTAACAAATATTTAAAGACCGAGTGTGAGCTAGAGTGTCAGATTAGCATCCCTGGGAGTCCAAAGACAAGGGGAGAAGGCACCACTCATTAGCTTTTTGCCCACAGGCTTCCATTGACTGCTCAAACAAACAAACAAACAAAAAGACTGGAGGAAGGTCAGGGGACCTGAGGGAGCCACCTGTGGTGGTTTTGTAAGGCTTGCTAAGACTTGAAGACAGAGCAGGAGTAACCGTAGAAGGCCAGATGTCTTCTGAGCTCTGCATGATTGAAATACTGGCATAAAACCAACTGGTGCCCCAGACCCTTCTCAAGAAGAATTAAACTACATGGGATGCAGGAGGAGAAGCAAACAACATTCCCATGCCCCAGATCAGAGCCTGCTCTCCTGAGAAGTGAAGATCAACTTGGAGGGAAGAAAAAAAATCCACCCACATCCCGGTTCCTGACCTAATCCCAGGCAAAGGTCAGCTGTCACTCCTTCATGCTCTGTGATGATATCTAAAATTCATCTGTCATATGGTAGGAGGATATGAGCAGACAATCTTTTCATGCTGAGATTCTTGCACTGATTCAAATTGAAGTATGCAGGCTCTGGAAAATGGACTAGAAACTGGCTGGCCACAAGCACCCATTGACACATGTCAGAGTTCAACTGCTACAGGAGGAGCGGAAGGGAATTTACCTGTACCTTAGATTCTGCCCTGGAATAGAGACAGAGGTTGGAGCAGCAGTATTAGGAAAACCTCACTCTTGAGGCAGAACTCATGGAACCTTTCTATAATATTCTGAACAAAGAGAATCAAGAAACTTCCAGGCTCTGTCATGAAAAAGTACCATTTTTGAATATCAAATAATCTAACATATATGTCATTATAACCCAGAAGATGAATGGAAAACAACGAGGTAGTAAAAAATTGTGTTTGAAAAGATAATTGGAACTGGCCCAATAGTCTCATAGACGTTCTTTTGGATAAAAATAGAAACTTACCCTTCTGCTGTTAAAAGCTGTATTTGTTTTATCTGAGTTCCTTCCTCAGGAAAGGACCTTCATGCCTGTCAATAAAAGTATCAAAGAACTGAAACTCAACAGATGACAGCATCAGATGTATTCTTCCCACACCCCCACCAAGTTCTTCTTTTCTTACACATTGTTACATTTCTTCCCTGCTACATAAACCCTTAGTTTTACTCAGTCAGGGAGATGGATTTGGGACTGAGCTCTCATTGCCTCACCTACAGCACCCAACTCAAGTCTTCTTTCTTGGGAATGCACTGTCTCAGTGATTGGCTTCCTGTGTGGTGAGCGGCAGGACCTAGACCATAACTCCTGATGTTTTGGAAACAGAATGACTGAGGATTCCCAAAATATATTAACGACCAGCCACAGATTCCAGAAACACGGACAAGCAAAAGGTAGAATAAGTTTTTTTTCTCTACTTCTCATATTATTCTTTCTCTCCCTTCCCAATGTTTTTGTTATATCATTTTATTTTGTCTGAGAATATAACTCTTATGTTGTATTCTGCAAACAAAATCACAACGTTTTTGTCTCACTCCTTGAGTTAAGTAAACTACCTACTTACGACCAGTCTTTTTTTTTTTTTTTTTTTTTTGAGGCGGACTCTTGCTCTGTTGCCAAGGCTGGAGTGAGTGGTGTGATCTCAGCTCACTGCAGCCTCCACCTCCCAGGTTCAAGTGATTCTCCTACCTCAGCCTCCCAAGTAGCTGGGATTTCAGGTCCCTGCCACCATGCCTGGCTAATTTAGTTTTAGTAGAGACAGGGTTTCTGCATGTTGGCCAGGCAGGCTGGTCTCGAACTCCTGACCTCAGGTGATCTGCCTGCCTTGGTCTCTCAAAATGCTGGGATTACAGGTGTGAACCACTGCACCTGGCCACAACCAGTTTTTTGTTGTTGTTCTTTTTTTTTTTTTCTTTTAAAGCAGTGTCTCACCCTGTTACCCAGGCTGGAGTGCAGTAGTGTGCTTACAGCTCACTATAGCCTCATCCACTCGGGCTCAGGTGATCCTACCACCTGAGCTTTCCAGGTAGCTGGGACTACAGGTGCATGCCACCACGCCAGGCTAAGTTTTTGTATTTTTTGTAGAGACGGGGTTTGCGACATTTCCCTGGCTGGTCTCAAACTCCTGGTTTTAAGCCATCCACCCACCTCGGCATCCCAAAGCGCCATGATTATAGGTGTGAGCCACTGCACCCAACCATTTTGTTGATTTTTTAAGTTATATTTTGCTTTGCTTGGTTCTTCTAGGAGTTTCACTAAAAGTTTATTGAGAATAATAGTTCTTTGTTCTTAGCAGAGTCAAAACTATTTTCTGTTGCTTTTACTTACAGTTATGCATCACATAATGATCAGTATACATTCTGAGAAATGCATTGGTAGGTGATTTTGTCTTTGTTCAAACATCATAGAGTGCACTTACACAAATCTAGATAGTCCAGCCTACTACACACCTGGGTTATACAGTAGAGCCTATCGTTCCTAGGCAACAGACCTGTATGGCATGTTATTGTACTGAGTAGTGTATGCCAACTTTAAAATCATGCTATTTGTATATGTAAATTTATCTAAACATAGAAAAGATACAATAAAAGTATAGTATAAAAGATAAAACATGGTACATATGTATAGGGCACTTATCATGAATAGAGCTTGCGGGACTGGAAGTTATTTTGGGTGAGTCAGTGAGTGAATGTGAAGGCCTAAGACATTACTAATGTACACTATGTGGACTTTACAAACGCTGTATACTTTGGCGACACTAAATGTATTTAAAAATTTTTTTTATACTAAATTAATCTTAGCTTACTGTAACATTTTTTACTTTAGAATCCCTAACTTTTTAAAGTTTTACTTTTTTAACTTTTTAACTCTTGTAATAACCTTAGCATTTGTACAACCACACAAAATTTTGTTTGTATTCTTCTATAGGTACTTTTCCCATTTTTAATTTGTTTAAAGGTTCAAAATTTTTCCTTAAAAACTAAGACACAACACACATATTAGCCTAGGCCTATATGGGGTCAGGATAATCGATATTATTGTCTCCCACCTCCACATCTTCTCCCACTGGAAGGTCTTCAAGGGCAATAACACCCATGAAGCTGTCATTTCCTATGGTAACAATGCTTTCTTCTGGAATAACTCCTGAAGGACTGCCTGAGGCTCTTTTACAGTTAACTTTTTTTGGAAGTAGGTGTAAACTCTGAAATAATGATGAAAGTATAGTATAGAAACTATGTAAACCAGTAATATAGTCAGCTGTACATATTTGTATGTGCTGTAATTTTATCTGACTGCCAGTGCCATAAGTTTGTTTTCACTAACATCACCACAAACACATGAATAATGCATTGTGCTATTATGGTAAAATGGCTAGGATATCACAAGATAATAGATATTTTTCAGCTCTATTGTAATTGTGTGGGCCCACTGTTGGATTCATGCTCTGTTGGTGACTGAAACATCATAATGCATTACATGACTGTATTTGTTAATATATAAAATTCTTGGGTTACTTTTCTATTCTCCTTGAGAAATTAAAAGAAATTGTTCCACTCTCTTTAGCTTCGACTATTGTTCTACAGCAGTGTCCGACCAGCTTTCATTCTTTTAATTCTTTGTAAGTAAAATAGTATTCTTGCCTTGCAGCACAAGTTTTCTGTTTATATATCTTTGAAGCCAATTACCTTTACCGGCATGTTGCTTAGGGTTGACTCTTCTGGATCCTTGTGCATTCAAATCGTCTTTATTAAAGGAAGACTTTATTTTGGGCTACAGCTACAAATATTTATTCTGCTTCTCTGTTTTTTGTTTGTTTGTTTGTTTTGAGATGGAGTTTTGCTCTTGTTGCTTAGGCTGGAGTGCAATGGCATGATCTCAGCTTCCTGCAACCTCCACCTCCCAGGTTCAAGCGATTCTCCTGTCTCAGTCTCCCAAGTAGCTGAGGTTACAAGCACATGCCACCACGCCCAGCTAATTTTTGTATTTTTAGTAGAGACGGGGTTTCATCATATTGGTCAGGCTGGTCTCGATCTCCTGACCTCAGGTGATCTGCTTGCCTTGGCATCTCAAAGTGCTGGGATTACAGGCATGAGCCACTGCGCCTGGCCTATTCTGCTTTTTACCTGAAGTTTTTATAGGTTCTCCAATTATACAATGACAGATTACTGGGGACTCTGCAATTATCCAGTGTATGCAACCTGTAAAATCATAGTATTTATATATTTTCTTGGCCCATTCTCATGCTGCTATAAGGATATACCTGATACTGGGTAATTTATAAAGGAAAGAGGTTTAATTGACTCACAGCTCAGCATGACTAGGAGGCTTCAGGAAACACAATCATGGCAGAAGGGGAAGCAAACACGTCTTTCTTCATAGGGTGACAGAAAGGAGATTTTGAGCAAAAGGTGGGAAGGTAATCCTTTTATAAAACCAGAACATCTTGTGAGAACTCACTCACTATCATGAGAACAGCATGAGGGTAACAGCCCTCATGATTTAATTACCTACCACTCGGTCTCTCCCACAATATGTGGAGATTATGGGAAATAGAATTCAAGATGAGATTTGGTGGGGACATAGCAAAGCCATGTCATATATCTAAATTTATCTAAACATAGAAAAGACACAATAAAAGCATAGTATAAAATATATAGTATAAATGATATGAGTGCTAACCTCTAAATTTGTTCATGCTACAGAAATTTATTTTGATCTTAAGTCATTATTTTTTAGGTCCTTGTTGCTCCCAAACTGAATGTTAACTGGTCAATTTTTATTATTCTCTTTATTTAAGTAGCATAGTTGTTTACATCATGAGCTATTTCTTTTTATAAGTATTCATTATAACTGGCAGTGATAATTTATAAGACCATCAATTTAAAGCAAGATCTTTCAAGGATTTGTGAAGGACTGTTTCAGGAGACGTTGAACTATTCTTAGGATCCTAGGTTCTGTGTGTATGATTAGCCTTCATTCTAAACTTGAATTTGGTCTTCAGGAAAAATAAAACTGTGACTCTATTTTCATAAGTATATGAGACTGATTTCCTCCCCAACCACTGTAAAAATGCTTCTTCCAGATAGGAATTTGCCATTTGATTCATCATTAACCTTACTTCCTTTGATTTTCAGTATCAGAGCCAGGCTCACTCCTGCTATCATTATCTGTATCTCCTTTTCACAATGGCAAAGAATTTAGGATGGGCAATATAGACTTTGTTCCTCATCTTGAGGGTATGGCTTTTTAAGGCTCTGCGTAAGCTTCTTAGTCGCATTACTGTGGCAGCGCTCCTCTCGAGCAGACACCAGCTGTGTGGAGTCTGTCCCTTGCAGACCCCTGACTTGGCGATGGATGAATAAAGTACACTGACACGCAGATTTTTTGCTTTGCCAGTCCAGCTGAGGGTCTGAGCGGCTTACAGACTCCCTGCTGAGTTCTGTAAACAGTTGCAACTCGGCCTTGATCAGCTAGTCAGACTCACATTTATTCAGTAAGATTAATTAACAAAACCTTTAGTCAACACCATTAAAGGGTAATGGACATTGTGGACTTCCCAAGTAAAAAGCACTTAAGCACCCACAGTACATCAAAGGTTAGTTTTAAGATCATATGAGTAAACAAGCTAGCTAGGTAAACTATTCTGCCTTCCTTTATTACTACTTAAATTTGTTTAAAGGTAAAGATCCGATTGCCTTCAAAAATACCTATTACCAAAGTTATGCAAACTTCTCGGCCTTCCAGGAAGACTCGAGTCTATCTCTATAACTATCTCTAATAGTTTTCCCACCAGGCTGATTGAACCCCAACACGTTACCATTTAGTGTGGGTGCTAAAGCTTTGCTTCACTGGAACATAGTAGCCTTTTTCCCAAATTTGGTGTTTTGGGTTTAGCTATTTCTGATTTTCATAAAATTTTAATATTTCTCTATTTTCTTATTTCTTTACAAATTCCTTTCAGAAAATAAAGAGAGAACTGCTGATTTTTGCAGTCTTGATTGAAATTACAAGCTGAAAACTGCTACCAGAGTTCCTTTTACTTGAACTCCAGACCAGGAAAAACTATCATAGTGAACTAGATTATACTTTTTTCATGAGTTTATGAAAGACATTTAGGATATACTTGACAAGATATTACATAATTCACTTAATTATTATTTAAAGACTTGTTTATTCTGTATATTGTTAACTTCTCAGCTTACACAAAGCAATCTAGGGCTTTCTTGCTAAGCTGGTTAGATAAACCCTGGAAGTACAGATAGAAGAAAAGCTAACTGAGCTCTACTATTGGTTAGACTCTTGTTATTTCAAAGGAATTCTATTGGAAGACTCACCTTGTCAAAATAAATGCATGTTTTATACACTTTTTACTCTCTTGATTCGTGTATAAACAAGTAGCCTAATTTGACTAAATGCTACCTATGTTTTAAGCATGAACTCTTTTATTTCTTATATTTTCCCGATTATTCTATATCACTTAATTTTAATTCATTTTATTGACCAAAGTTTTGATAATTTTACTCATAAAAATTTTAATTTAATTAATATTATTTTAAGACATTTTCTCTATGACACAATCTTGATCAACAGTTTGAGTCTTGTTACACTGAGAGACTGCCATTTTGTTAAGATCCCACCACAGCCTTTCTGAGAATTCTCACCTTTAAGGGAAATATGAAAATGCTTTTTATGATGAAAGGATGTTGCAAATGTGAGACATAATTATGATAATTGGCATTTTTTCCAGCACTGGATATTTACAAAAATAAAATATATCTATTTCCACTGTCATTGTAGAAACATAAACAAGCAGATATATTCATTCAACAAATATGTATTGATTGTTTCCTATATGTGACTCATTGTGTTCAGCATTTACGGTATATTGGAGAGTAAGCTCTTTCTCTCTCCAGTTCACCATTTGGTAAGAAAGAGAAACAATAGTCAAACATTTATTTAAATTATTATACATGTTTAATTATGAAAAGATATAAAGAAAAAACAATAAGTGAGAGGGCATTCACATATAAATTTGAGTTAATGTAGGGTTAAAGAAGTTTCCTTGAAGAAATTATATTCGAACTAAAATCATATAGGCAATTAGATTAGGTAGGACAAGAAAATGGTGGGATGAGGAAAAGCACATTTTTTTAAATCCATACCTCTCTAACTCTTTATAGACTCATGGGCTTAGACATTCCTCTAAAACAATAAAATATCAATCAATATTATTTGATTATTTTATATTTTATTGAGTATATTGATTGGTTGATATTTTATTAAAACTTTAAAAACAATTGATTTGTAACTTGGACCACAGTCATGGTGCTATTAGCCTTCAAATATGTTAAAACATGCAAATAATCAATGATTAATAATTGGCCATATTGTCAGAGACATTTGAACCAGAGCAACTCCATCTGGAGCAGGGGCTTGGTAAAATAAGGCTGAGACACGCTGGGCTACATTCCCAGCAGGTTGAGGCATTCCTAGTCACAGATGAGGTAGGAGGTCAGCACAAGACACAGGTCATAAAGACCTTGCTGATAAAACAGGTTGCAGTGAAGAAGCTGGTTAAAACCCACCAAAACCAAGATGGCCACGGGAGTCGCCTCTGGTCATCCTCACTACTATGCTCCCACCAGCACCCTGACAGTTTAGAAAGGCCATGGCAACATCAGGAAGTTATCCTATACGGTCTAAAAAGGGGAGGCATGAATAATCCACCCCTTGTTCAGCATGCGACCAAGAAATAACCATAAACATAAGCAACCAGCAGTCAGTCCTCACAGCTGCCCTGTCTATGGAGTAGCCATTCTTTATTTCTTTACTTTCTTAATAAACTTGCTTTGACTTTATGGATTCACCTTAAATTCTTTGTTGTGCGAGATCCAAGAGCCCTCTTTTGGGGTCTGGATCTGGACCCCCCTTTCCGTTAACAACAATTATCTCAGATATATGATTCCAAAAAATAAAAGAGAGAGAAAGAGAATGATTTTAAGATTAAACATTTAATGAAAGAAACTACTTCTAGCCCTTACTACCTCAAGCTCATAAAAGTAGTTCTAGTTATAGACCAGTAGCTTTGTTTTTGTTCAAACATCTCTTTGTTTGTCTTCTCTTTGCCCTGAAAACGATCAAGTAGTTCACTAGGTGAAAATGGAAGGCTCCCAAGAGTGCGATCAAATAATGACTTTTGAAACTTCCCTGTCTGAGGTCACAAAACAATAAAAGAGGAAAGAGTATGGCAGATTGACGGCTTTATTTTACCTTCTACTCATGTCACAGCAGTGCAGTCTTTTTGTGGGGCTAGGGGAAGTCACTTTCAACATTTACTCTGGGCAATTTATTTCATGTGTAACTTTTTGTCAGAAGATTCTCATTTTATATATTAGATTGGGTCATGTGTATTTTTCAGGTTATTTTTTACACTGCAGGCAAGCAATCATTGAATATCTATCTAGCTATCCATCTATCTATCTATCATCTATCTTTACTGTCTCTTAGCTACACAGAAATTTATTTATCTCAACTTCATGATAACATTTTGGAACAAACAAACAACAATATATATATCTTACCAAAATAAAATGAGTTACAAAATACAAAATGCAATAAATAGTGAAGTTTTATATATTGAGATGGTTTAATAAAAGGATGAATTTCATAGGAAATAATAAAAGTCAGCGGTTTAAGTAAGTGCAATAGAATGAATTTTGTTCCATGTTTTGTTCCTTGCTCTAACTGCCTCTTCCAAAAATTTGTATTCCAATAAGTTTTTGTTTTTTTTTTCTTTTGAGACAGAGCCTCGCTCTGTCACCCAGGCTGGAGTGCAGTGGTGCGATCTCGGCTCACTGCAAGCTCTGCCTCCCAGGTTCAGGCCATTCTCCTGCCTCAGCCTCCCGAGTACCTGGGACTACAGGCGCCCAACACCACGCCTGGCTAATTTTTTGTACTTTTAGTAGAGACGGGGTTTCACCATGTTAGCCAGGATGGTCTCGATCTCCTGACCTCGTGATCCGCCCACCTCGGCCTCCCAAAGTGCTGGGATTACAGGTGTGAGCCACCACACCCAGCCCAAGTATTTTAATGTAAATGTATTATGAGTATAATAACCTGTGCTGAATTATAAATTATTATGTAAATTAATCATTAGTACTATTTCTTCTTCATATTTCTTGATGATAAAATTGTAATTCCTTAAAATTTCTTTTTATAACCTTATGAATTTATCAGTTATTTTGTTACAAACATAAGTTATCATAATGACTAGGAGAAAACACACTACAATTTTCATAGACAATTATTTTCTTTATTATTCGAAAACTATAACGTTAAGCATGCATTTCCTTCATAATTATGTGGACACTATGCTATAATAAAATAAAATAGATTGGTAATACTTTATTTAAAAAAAAGTTATTTAAGATGTCAGTAAGTTCTGGAAATATGACAGAAAAATTAA
Source organism: Homo sapiens (assembly GCF_000001405.40). Classification (NCBI taxonomy): domain Eukaryota; kingdom Metazoa; phylum Chordata; class Mammalia; order Primates; family Hominidae; genus Homo; species Homo sapiens. The sequence goes on from NC_000011.10 coordinate 98,635,050, forward strand.
AGATTAAATTAGGTAAGATTGATGTAATTTAGATTAAAATATTTTTTAAAAATCTCTGTTATAAGTTGACACAATAGATATTCCCTGGATACCTGAGAAATCTGGGAGAATTGTATCAACAAATGGATAAGGCAAAAATACTTCTAAAATAATATGTAATTAATTAGTGGTGATTTTTTTTTAGTTAAATGTAACAACCAGAGTAGGTAAAATGAAGCAGCTTTGGTGGACATATGTTGCATCCTGGTTTCTCATAGTCTGCTCTCAGGAGTGTGAATTCTAATGATCAACTTCGAAATGTTTGGCATTATCTACTAAAATTAAATAAATGCACACTGTATGACCTAGAAATTCTAGTCCTCAGTTTACCGTGTGTGTGTGTGTGTGTGTGTGTACCTAAAAACAACTTTTTGAGTCTTAATAGCAGTACTATTGGAAACAGGCACAAATTGGAAAATCTCAAAGGCTCACTAACAGTAAAATGAATATAAATATTGCTGTATGTTCACACAATAGAACAATATGTGGCAGTGAGATAGAATGTATAAAAACTATATAGAACAATATAATTAAGTTTCATAAGCATAGCTTTGAGTAAGGAAAGCTGAATGTTATACAAATGTATAATACTCGATAATATATATAAGGTTGAATTCAGCAAATTTAATCTATATCGTTAGAGGTCAGAATAGTATTTATCCTTGAGCCATGTGGGATAGTAACTGGAAAAGGATAGAAGAAGAGATTTTTGGGAAATTGATATTTTGTTTCTTGATCATGATACATGTTCATGGTATTGTTCCATTTGTGAAAATTTATTGAATTAAACATGATACATGCATATATCTTCAATAAAATTTCTAAAATAAAATGTACTTTCCCATAGCTATGCTTTCAAATATTTTTATTGATAAAACTCATTATGTATATAAAATTCTCATTTTCCTTAAAGATGAAAACACAATAAAAAATTATAGTCAGGATCATTAAAACCACATTTTTTTGATATCATCAGTGTATGTTTAACCATGAAAAGGAGCATAGAATATTTCTATTTTCATAAAAGATTAAATTAAAATATTGCAAAAATATGAGGAAATGACTACCTTAAGTGCATTTTTGTGTCTTATTCTGTAATGAAAGATATTTTAAACTAAAAATCCATACTGGATTCATTTTGTTTGATTTCATTGTCTCTATGGATTAAATAAACCAGACAAATGTAAAATCTGATTTCGTTTGATGCTAATGAATGTTACCTAAATGTCTAAATCATATTGCATCAGTGGAAGTAAGAACATATAAATGGATCTGGAAATGAGGTCATTAGCCTTCCAATTACCTGAGATGAATTACTCCTTATACATTTTTCTTGTCTGTTCGTTGTGCTATGCTCACATGACTGGCCAACATTAAACTCTGTTTCTTTTATTTGAACCATTACCATAGTTTATCAGAATCTCTGATATAGCAGCTATCTCACTCTAGCTTCTATTATGGCTATTTTTGTATTGCTTATCTTCCTTGTTGTATTGTTAACTTTTTGTGGTCAGGGACTATGCTTTGCTTATCATTTTTATCTCTGCAAGAGCTGACCTCAAAGACTCATGTTTAGGAAGCACTCAACAATATTTATTAAATAGTTTTAATTCAGATAAGCAAAACAAGCTCTCACTGAAGACTTCAGAATTTATATTTGGAGTTTCCTGGGAGCAATAACCTAATTGAAAAGGAAATTTGTCTTAAAGTTGCTTTGTTTATATTGCATTTTTATTAGAAGCAACTTTGGAGATGCCGATAGAAATTTTTATGCTAAAATATTCGTAAGAAGCCCCTTGGCAATTCTAACTGATACCTGTTTGTGCATTTTTAAAAGCTTTTATTCAGAACACATATGTTGGCCTAGCACAGTAGCTCATGCCTGTAATCTCAGCACTTTGAGAGGGTGAGGCGGGCGTATCACTTGAGGACAGGAGTTCGAGGCCAGCTTGGTCAATATGGTGAAACCCTGTCTCTACTAAAAATACAAAAATTAGCTGGGTATGGTGGCACGTGCCTGTAATCCCAGCTACTGGGGAGGCTGAGGCAGGAGAATTGCTTGAACCTGGGAGGTGGAGGTTGCAGTGGGTCGAGATTGTACCATTGTACCCCAGCCTGGGTAAAGAAGTGAGACTCTGTCTCAAAAACAAATAAACAAAAAAACCATTTTTTTCGGGGCAGAGTGGCTCACACCCATAATCCCAAGTGCTTTGGGAGGCCAAGGCAGGAGGACAGCTTGAGGCTGAGAGTTCCAGACCAGACTGTGCAACATAGCAAGATCTTATCTCTAAAAAGAATTTTAAAAAGCCAGGCATGGTGGCATGTGCCTGTTGTCCTACCTATTGGGGATGCTGAGGAAGAATTGCTTGAGCCCGGGAGTTTGAGGTGGCAGTGAGCCATGATTGCATCACTGCACTCCAGTTTGGGTAACAGAATGAGGCCCCCCACTCAAAAAAATAAAAACAAAACCCCCCACACATTTATTTTTTGAAAAATAAATAAAAGCTTGAGGTCAAAATATGATCTCAAAATCTGCATAGTAGATCAACAAATGTAGGTGTCTCAGAAGACACTAAAACAATTCTGCAGATAACTGGCAGTTGTCTTTGGAGCTTCAGAGATGTCTTTACCCCTGGGGATTCTGGATAAGCTTGAGGACATAAATTATAGCTGGTGAATATAACCTGCATGCCTGATTCTCAATAATCTATTACTAGCATAAACATTAGTTAGCTTTCCTTGATGACAGAATGAAAGGGAAAACGTGATTCTTTAACTGACACATTGCTAGAGGTTAATCCACTCTGGGACTCAAATTTGATGACAACTGAGTCAGCTAAAATTTTAAATAAAGCATTTGCTTATACACAATTCGTTAAAAATGACCATATATTCAAGGTACATGATCTTGAATCAAAAGCACCAGTGTTATTACCAAGGCAATATTAATCAAAGTACCACTGATTTTTGACCTAGTCTAGTCCTAATTTTAATGAATTAAATATTATTATTTTTTTTTTAGACGGAGTTTCGCTCTTGTCACCCAAGCTGTAGTGCAAATGGCGCCATCTCGGCTCACTGCAACCTCCACCTCCCAGGTTCAAGTGATCCTGCCTCAGCTTCCTGAGTAGCTGGGATTACAGGCAGATGCCACCATGCCTGACTAATTTTTTTTTCGTATTTTTAGTAGAGAGGGGGTTTCGCCACGTTAGCCAGGCTGGTCTCGAATTCCTGACCTCAAGTGGTCCGCCCACCTCAGCCTCCCAAAGTGCTGGGATTACAGGCGTGAGCCACTGTGCCCGGCCCTTAGTTTAAATTCTAATGATTTTTAAAAATCTAGTGTAACTCATGAATGTTTGGCTGTGTCTACGTAGCCAGAAAAATATCTGATTCATCAACTCCGAAAGGACAGCCCTGTGATTGTTTCTGGGTTTACCTGGAAGTTAGTTATAGACTTGTGTCTGTCATAAAGATGAAATGAGCTAGCTAGTAATTTTTAATATGCGCTTTAAAGTTTAAAAGTCCTCTTGCAGAACCTAGGGCCATGGTTTGGAGATGTGTAGATGGATGGGTTACATCTGGCAACCTAGTTTTACTTCATAAGCAGTGGTGCGTTAAAACAACAACAATAACAAAAAACCTAAAAACTTTGGCTGCAGCTTTCTTGAAATGAATATCCTTCTGTACTTCTCGATAGTTCATAATCCAGAGATGAAGCACCACCTGTGAAACTTAGAAAGGACCAGGAAGAGCTGAACTTGGTGGGTCTCTTGGGTCCCAGATACTTGCCTGCAGTTTTGCTCTGATACTATACTCTATTCCTTTATTTTGATTACAATCTTAAATGTCAATTATCTGTGCAGGCTTATCAGTCCTCTCAATTATCATATCTTTGCAATCTTGCATCAACTGATTGGTAAGTGCAAATTTTTCCCATAACCAAAATGGAGAGATATACTTCTATAGTCTATTCCATTTTTGGCAAACTTTGTGATGCATGGCACATCCATAAATTCATTTGAACTGACTTAGGTCAGAAAACTCACAATGATACCAGTTCCATATGCAAATCATTTAAATTTATGGAAAGTCATGTTTTACCATCAAAAATCCCTGTGAGATATGTTGCCAAATTTTGTCTTCTTACAGGTTAGGGATTGTAAAGGAGATTCGGTTGCTTTTCCTCATCAGTTACATAACAAATTCAAAATACACACATAAAATCTAAGTAAAAACTTTACCAAGCCTCTAGCCTCCCATTTCAGCTAGGTTGCTGCTTCTAAGTCACCTGCCATGTAGAACTTATCACAACCAGTAAACAAGCAAATTTATGCTTTCCTCCATAAAAACAAAGACTCAGGAAATTTAGGTAAATTTTTTAACGTCACAAAGTGGTTGCTCAAACTCTTCCTTATGTAACCTAAGCAATGTAGATTCTCTAATGATAGTTTCCAATAAAAGCTTAATGAACATTCGTGTTATTTTAACCTGCTATTCATGTTAAGAAGTTCAAACACTGAAGTACTTGCATTTGATAAATACTGTTATTTATAACAGAGAGCTTAATTAACTGGATACATTAACCTCATTATAAATATAATATTTGATAGCTTAGTAATTCTGCAGTTGAAAACAGGTTAATATATGAGTTCCGTGTTCAGTCTAAGTTAATAGAAAGTTGCACCTCATTTTCTTTTCAACGCATTCCTCCCTACTAAAGTTTGATTGTTTATCTTCCTGAATTTTATCATAGAATAGGTTTTATTTTATTTTTCTAGGATGCGAAATGATAGCTCAGGTGGAAAATTAAACAAGACACATAATATTAAATTGGCCTTAGTCTATTAAGAAAAATTAGGGTACAGGTATGAAAGAAATTTTGCTACCGGAATTTTTAGCTTTTAATACACTCCACAGTATCTGGCAGCAGTTTTTCAGGAGACACTAGATTGACAGGTTAATTATAGAAGACGTAAAACTATATGTACAGATAGCAAATCAAACGAGTATTCATTCACTTGGCACTCTACCAGAAAGCGGCAGACAACTTTTATTTGAAACTATTTGAGGATACAAATCATATAATGCATGACATTGAAGATTCCCATGACAAATGCATAGTGAGGCTGCCAGTATGATTACTGATTCACATCCAAACATAAATTTATGGGGAGAAAAAAAACACCTCAATTCACTTCAAAGTAAATGAATTCTATTAGGGTGTGCCATACTCTAGTATGCTGCACAATATCCTTCAGCTTGAATGAAATCACCTTCAAGTTTTACCATTACCACACTGATGTCTTGACATAATTTGAAAGTTATATTACTACCTTTGTCATTTTGCACTGAAAAGATGCAGACATGCTGGCAAAGAATTTCTTGATACAGTACATTTGGACCAATGAAAATAATTTTTTATCCACATTTATACAGAGGAGTTCACCTTGCTTTGAAGGCAGTCTGAACTTCTGAAAGTGGATATAAGGGATACCTTCTTGAATGTATCTGTCTTGAAATGATAAACCTTCCAGAAGACATCATTTCAATATCAGATGATGATTTTCATATATGCCATGTGGAACTCCAAGCTGTGTTGCTTATTGGTCTGGGTAGATATAGCCCTGATATTTCATGTTATTTTGGCTATGAATAAGTCTTAAAGACATGCAAAATATATTTCACAAGTGTGAGAATTGTTCTGCTCTTCTTCACCAAAATCATTCCTCTCCCCACCGTTGTGCCATATGTTCTGTGCAGACTGTCTATTTGGCTGCTGCTATCAGCCCTGGAAATGGCCTCATTTCAGTGGTGAAATGATCCCTGTATGAAAGAAGTTTGCGGGGCACTTTGGGGACTCACAAAATGAGTGAATCTATGTCACTCTGAAATGCTTTAATTAGTATGTGATTGCTTTCATGTCTTTGGCAAATCCACAAACAGGATAAATTAATGGATTCTAATATGGAATCCGTGGCAGAGATGTGGTTTGAATATCCTCTTCCTTTATTAAATTGCTTAATTCTGAAACAGAGGAATCTGGGTATGATTCTTTGGGGAACAAACAAACAAAAAACTTTCTAATTCTTCTATTTGCATCAAATAGAAGTGTCAAAAGCCATCAATAACTAATAATTCATTGAGGGTTGACTGTGTTCCAGGCCCTTTTCTTAGCCTCTTTCATGTACTTATTTATATTTCCCTCTCAAGGTTTCAATGGAACAAGTTATTTTATTATTATTATTTAGATTAAACTGAGGTTCAGCTGAGTTTAATTCATTTATAGGGACTCCTTTTAATAGGCAATCCTTTTAATGCCCTGGATGGAGCCTTAGGTTTGTGTTCATATTGTTGGACCTCATTAAGTATTTCCAGTGTTGTATTATTTTTCTTAAAAAGAGTTACCCGATTTGTGTAAGATTCAGCTGAAACAAAATTTGTATCGTGATTCTATAATTATCAGAAATAATTATAGAAAAAGTTTTAGTCACTTTGTGTCTTATTCTATTTGAGTTGCCATAAAAATATCAATCAACTGAGTAGTTTATAAACAATAGAAATTTATTGCTTACAGTTTCAGAGACTGGGAAGTCCAAGATCAAGGTACTGAAAGATGTGGTGTCTGGTGAAGGCCCACTTTCTGGCTCACAGATGTGACTTCTTGTTGTATCCTCACATGGTGGAAGGGGTGAGGGGTATCTCTTGGGTCTCTTTATAAAAGCACTAATCCCACTCATGAGTGCTCTGCCCCCATGATCTAATTACCTCTTAAATACCCACCTTCTAATACCATCATGTTGTGGGTGAGGATATCCAAATATGTATTTTTGAGGAACATAAACATTCATACCATAGCAATGGGAAAGTTCAATTAATAGATGTTTTAGAAAACCTACACAGCTAACGAATCAAATGGCATAAAATGTCAGTCTTGCTGTCAAATAAATCATAATCACATCCAAAAGATATTACATACATATCTAGATGCATGGCCATAGGAAGAACACAGTCTTATTGCCCAATAATTTCTAATTTTGGATCTCAAAGATGATAAACATAAACTTTCAGAAATCTTCCTGGAAGAGCTGTAGCTAGAGATGAGCTCTGAAGAATCAGTAAGCTTTGGATAAAGGAAAAATACCTTTCAGGAAATGTAAGGTAGTAAATCACCAGATTTATACCCCAGTGCTCTCAGGTTGCTCTCTTCACTACCCAAAACATTGTTCTGTTATTCTCCAAAACCTTTTACATTTCATTATTTTAGAATCATTAAAAATGTTTCATCTCCCAGCTATTTGGGAATGCCTGATGCAAGGAAGATATTTTGAGCATCACTTTATCATGTCAGCAATCCTAAAAATTTGGAGCAGTCTCAGAATTTGGCGCAAAGCTTGTTATATTTTAGGCTAATCTACGTTAAATGAAAAAAGGCATGACTCTCGTATCCTGCAGTTAACTCTTTCATTCCTTGTGAGCACCAGCACGCTGAAGTGTGTGTGTGTGTGTGTGTGTGTGTGTGACTCATGTTGCTTCAATTCAGAAGATGTGCTCTGGCCTTTGGCCTTTTGAGTTTAGGAATAAATAACACAAGATATAAACCATAATAAACAGATTTCTGCTAAGCATTCTATACTAAAATTGCAGAGTTTTTTATGTAATAACTGATTAGTAATAATGTTAACAGCATAAGGCCTTATACATGCATAATAAAATTACTACTATACTTAATTATTAAAGCCATGTGTGTATCAAATCCTTTTTATATGTAGTAGTTAACTTCATTCTTTAAAAAGGCATTGATATAAATTTGTCAACAAATAAAACAACTTTTGATTATCTGCTTTATGTAACGAGATAACCAGTCCCCATTTTGGAGCGGCCACCAAGGATTTGCAACTCTTACTATCTACACCACTGTGTAATCCAGTGCTTCTCAATAGCAGGTGATCTCCCTCTGCTCCAGGAACATTTGAAAATATTTAAGGATAATTTTAGTTGTCTCAGTCTGGGGATGGGGGTGTTAGCCTACAGTCTCTTGAACTGCCTGCTCTGAGAAAAGCTAGTTGCTATGTTGTGAAGACACTAGCCTTATAGGCAGGCCTACGTGATAGGGAACTGAGGCCTCTTGCAAGACATGTGAGTAATCCACATTGGAGGCAGATCCTGCAGCCCCAGTCAAGCCTGTATGTGGTTGCATCCCTAACCATCCTGACTGCAAACTCCTGATATTCCTTGAGCTAGAACTACCTAACCACACCATTTCTGAATTTTTGAATCACAGAAACTGCGAGATAACAGGTGTTTATTGCTTTAAGCCACTAAGGCCTGGGATGATTTGTTATACAGAAATAGATGACAAATGCATAAACTAAGTTATGTATATATGTGTATCTATTGTGGTTCTTAAAGCTAATTACAGCTGTCCCATAAGCTGCTCAGAGGCAGCAAATTTTTAAAATCATTTCTATAAAAAATGTGGCTCACGACATAGAAAAATGGTATCACCTCCGAATTTGTTAGCAACACAGAATCTCAGACAATATTTCACAGGTACTAAATCAGAATTTGGAAAATTTTAAAAATCTTCAGGTTATTCAAAGCCCTTTATACTTTGTGCTATCTTAAAAGGCAAGAAAAAGAAATAAAATAAAAAACTAGGCATTGCCACTTACTAGGAGCTTTTGTAGGTTGAATTAGAAAATTAGGTCAAATGGATGAAGTAGTGCTTTATATTAATAATTTGGGTTATGCCTTTGTAGAACTTTTTATGCATTTTGCAAAGATAATGGAGATTTATATAAATGAGTCAAACAATTCTTTTATAACAGCAATAGATTTGTTTGCGACTGAATATTTTCTATGTCTTCAAACCAAATATGTTACATTACTGATTGTTTCTTTACAAATGAAGCTTAGATCATGGGTGTATATATTTTATATATGCTTGTGTTCTCACTATATAAGGGCATTAAGACCAACTCCATTGAAGGAAGAAAGGATCACTTCCGAAAGCAGTGAGTTTTAAAAACTGCCAGTTAATGTCATCAACTTGGCAATTCTCGTCCCCAAGGGGGGTTGGTAATTTGGTTCTCTGCTGGAGAAATCTTAAAAACTTCTACCTAGTAACAAAATTGGAACTTCCTTTTATCTATAAACAAAAACTACTGAGAAGTACTAAATTAAGAAATATGTTTTAAGTAAAACTATTCGTGTTTTTGAAATGGATGCTTTCATGGTTTAAATATCTACCCACTCCCAAACTCCTGCTGAAATTTAATTGCCACAATTTCATACTTAACCTAAGTATTGAAAGGTAGGACCTTTAAGAGATGATTAGGTCATGAGGGTTCTGCCTTCATGAATGGATTAATGCTGTTATGATGGGAGTGGATTACTTATAAACAGACTAGTTTTGCTCTCTTTTTTCTCTCTCTCACCCTCACTTTGCCCTTCTGCATGGGCCAACACAAGAAGCCTCTCACCAGACAACAGCCCCTCAACCTTAGATTCCCAGCCTTCAGGACCATAAGTCAATAAATGTCTGTTTATTATACATTAGCCAGTCCGTGGCATTCTGTTACAGCAGCACAAAGACAGATGCCTTTATAATTATTTGATATTAACCATATCCTTTTTTCTTGCATTTCTAAATATAACCTTTTCTTTTTATCATTCTGCCTTGCTAACTGACACTTTTTTACCTATTGTGCTGGGATTTTCTACTCTACTGCTTTCTTTCTCTAATGTTGGACTTTCCTGGGCCATACTATTTTCTTTCCTGCACAATTTACCCTAAGTAGTTACCATTTATATGCTGATAATGCCCTGCTATGAATCTCCAGTTCAAACATCTCCTCCAAGTTCCAGATAAATTTTGTCTATTTTCATCTGCTTAAGAACTCATCAATATCCGACATTAAACATGGTCAAAATGTAATTATTAAGTCTCTTTTCAACAACAAATATCTGTTCTTTCCCTAGGGCTCCACATCTCAGTAAACAGTAGCATTATCTCCAGCCAGAAAACCAGTTCACATATTTTCTTTTATTTTCCTCCACTCACATCCACATGTGTGCTGCCATGAGGACTTACTGGTTCTGATTTAGAAATATATATGTAATCTATGTACACATTTTTATACTGGCTTACAACACTATAATTACTCACCTGCAATAGCCTCATAAATGACCCCCTGCTTTGCACTAATGAGGGGTTACATGATGACCTTATGGAAACACATATAGTATAATATAAATGTCCCTCTTCAAATTCTTCGTGAGTGGCATCTCATAACACTACAAGTGAATCCAAACTATACAGGACTAGCTACTCAAGTTCATGTCAGCCTCTCTCTAGCTTTTTGCCTCTGCTTCAAACTATAATATAATATATGATATTATTTACTCACTAAATAAAATAATATGCACCGTATCTTCTAAATAAATTATTTCTTGAAACAAAGGTACAAATATATTATTCTACTTTGATATTTATCTTCAAATACAAGACAATAATTCATCATGTGAATTAAAAAGTTCTTCATGTACAACTAAAAGTGTACATCATGCATAGTGAATATTATTGAGACTCCTATTTATCAAGTCAAAGTGTTGTTTTTAACTAGAATGCTTAGTCCTCAGTGATTTATTTTAGGAAAAAAAAATCATGTCAGTGTTATTTTGGAAATTCATTTTTTGCCAAACACAGCATCTGTCTTTATTTGAAATCTTTAACATAGTTCTTGGGTTGAGTTGAAGATCCCTAGTTCTGGATAGGCCATGTTCTCCCCTTTATGAGAAGGACTTCACAGGATATATATGCCAACCTTCTCTCCAGTAAACTTCCCAACTGTGTACAGGGAAGGAAGGTTAGTTCTGAGCCAGCTGGATGAAATGCCAGTAGTTGCAGACTCTCTCGGTCACTGCCTAAAAATTATGAATGCTGTGGCTATGCTCCTTTTTCCAAATTTCTTACAAGGCTTCCATCAGTCTAAGCACAGACAATCTCATCCACTTCTTACTTATAAGGATACGATGTAGGAGGAGAAATACACTGCTAGAAGAAACTTTATTTGAACTGATATTTCTGAGTATTTTGAAGCAGAAATGTTGGATGAGACATGCCTCTGGCAATGTTTTATGTTGTTTTTCACCTGAATACAGACATTGCTTTGGCCTAAATAGAAGAAAACCCAAGACTAATGTTTATCAGTTTAGAATATACTTAGGGATGATGAATGATTTTGACAAAGAGTCTAAAAGAACAAACTTTTAAAAAATGTTCATGAGGCTAATAATATAGAACTATAAAACACATTGTCAAAATTTCCTGTTGTTTCTTGACCATGCCACATAACTACTACCTCAGTTTTACAGATAACTTAGTTTAAACATAATGAAAATATTTCTTTAATCTAGGTCTCTAATTTTTCTTTTTACAAAATAGCTATAGTTTCTCTGAATCCATTTTGTGTTAAATTTCTTAGGCACTCTCTTATTATAACGAATAATTCATTATCTTCATTATCATTATCACGAAATAGTCATTGAACAAGAAAAGTGTAATGGTTTCTGATGTCCTTTTATTTATTTTAATCTTATTAATATAGTAATGTGTGAATCATAAGTTTCAAAAAAATTACTCTCTATTGATATGAATGATGTTTAGTCTTTACATGATTCCTAGAAATTATGTTTTATAAAGTAACCAATAAAGTATTAAAAGAAAAATTACCTCTGTACCACAGCTCACAAATTCAACCGATGTCCATGCTAGAGTTTGATGTTGAGTCCCTTCAAGGGGTGTGGCATACAATTACTTGTGCTTTCAGTATTAGAACTTTTGACAATACCCTAGTTTATGTGAAGAGACAAAAAAACTGAGGGAAACAGACGACTTAAAAATTTCTAGATATACGATCGTGTAGTCTGCAAACAGGGACAATTTGACTTCCTCTTTTCCTAATTGAATATCCTTTATTTCCTTCTCCTGCCTAATTGCCCTGGCCAGAACTTCCAACACTATGTTGAATAGGAGTGGGGAGAGAGGGCATCCCTGTCTTGTGCCAGTTTTCAAAGGGAATGCTTCCAGTTTTTGCCCATTCAGTATGATATTGGCTGTGGGTTTGTCATAGATAGCTCTTATTATTTTGAGATACGTCCCATCAATACCTAATTTATTAAGAGTTTTTAGCATGAAGATTGCTGAATTTTGTCAAAGGCCTTTTCTGCATCTATTGAGATAATCATGTGGTTTTTGTCTTTGGTTCTGTTTATATGCTTGATTACATTTATTGATTTGCGTATATTGAACCATCCTTGCATCCCAGGGATGAAGCCCACTTGATCATGGTGGATAAGCTTTTTGATGTGCTGCTGGATTCGGTTTGCCAGTATTTTATTGAGGATTTTTGCATCAATGTTCATCAAGGATATTGGTCTAAAATTCTCTTTTTTGGTTGTGTCACTGCCCGGCTTTGGTATCAGGATGATGCTGGCCTCATAAAATGAGTTAGGGAGGATTCCCTCTTTTTCTATTGATTGGAATAGTTTCAGAAGGAATGGTACCAGTTCCTCCTTGTACCTCTGGTAGAATTGGGCTGTGAATACATCTGGTCCTGGACTCTTTTCGGTTGGTAAGCTATTGATTATTGCTTTCAGCTCCTGTTACTGGTCTATTCAGAGATTCAACTTCTTCCTGGTTTAGTCTTGGGAGAGTGTATGTGTTGAGAAATTTATCCATTTCTTCTAGATTTTCTAGTTTATTTGCGTAGAGGTGTTTGTAGTGTTCTCTGATGGTAGTTTGTATTTCTGTGGGATCGGTAGTGATATCCCCTTTATCATTTTTTATTGCGTCTATTTGATTCTTCTCTCTTTTTTTCTTTATTAGTCTTGCTAGCGTTCTATCAATTTTGTTGATCCTTTCAAAAAACCAGCTCCTGGATTCATTAATTTTTTGAATGTTTTTTTGTGTCTCTATTTCCTTCAGTTCTGCTCTGATTTTAGTTATTTCTTGCCTTCTGCTAGCTTTTGAATGTGTTTGCTCTTGCTTTTCTAGTTCTTTTAATTGCGATGTTAGGGTGTCAATTTTGGATCTTTCCTGCTTTCTCTTGTGGGCATTTAGTGCTATAAATTTCCCTCTACACGCTGCTTTAAATGTGTCCCAGAGATTCTGGTATGTTGTGTCTTTGTTCTCGTTGATTTCAAAGAACATCTTTATTTCTGCCTTCATTTTGTTATGTACCCAGTAGTCATTCAGGAGCAGGTTGTTCAGTTTCCATGTAGTTGAGCGGTTTTGAGTGAGTTTCTTAATCCTGAGTTGTAGTTTGATTGCACTGTGGTCTGAGAGATAGTTTGCTATAATTTCTGTTCTTTTACATTTGCTGAGGAGAGCTTTACTTCCAAATATGCGGTCAATTTTGGAATAGGTGTGGTGTGGTGCTGAAAAAAATGTATATTCTGTTGATTTGAGGTGCAGAGTTCTGTAGATGTCTATTAGGTCAGCCCAAAATCTCCTTAAGCTGATAAGCAACTTCAGCAAAGTCTCAGGATACAAAATCAATGTACAAAAATCACAAGCATTCTTATACACCAATAACAGACAAACAGAGAGCCAAATCATGAGTGAACTCCCATTCACAACTGCTTCAAAGAGAATAAAATACCTAGGAATCCACCTTACAAGGGACGTGAAGGACCTCTTCAAGGAGAACTACAAACCACTGCTCAATGAAATTAAAGAGGATACAAACAAATGGAAGAACATTCCATGCTCATGGGTAGGAAGAATCAATATCGTGAAAATGGCCATACTGCCCAAGGTAATTTATAGATTCAATGCCATCCCCATCAAACTACCAATGACTTTCTTCACAGAATTGGAAAAAACTACTTTAAAGTTCATATGGAACCAAAAAAGAGCCCTCATCGCCAAGTCAATCCTAAGCCAAAAGAACAAAGCTGGAGGCATCACGCTACCTGATTTCAAACTATGCTACAAGGCTATAGTAACCAAAACAGCATGGTACTTGTACCAAAACAGAGATATAGATCAATGGAACAGAACAGAGCCCTCAGAAATAATGCCACATATCTACAGCTATCTGATCTTTGACAAACCTGAGAAAAACAAGCAATGGGGAAAGGATTCCCTATTTAATAAATGGTGCTGGGAAAACCAGCTAGCGATATGTAGAAAGCTGAAACTGGATCCCTTCCTTACACCTTATACAAAAATCAATTCAAGATGGATTAAAGACTTAAACGTTAGACCTAAAACCATAAAAACCCTAGAAGAAAACCTAGGCATTACCATTCAGGACATAGGCACGGGTAAGGACTTCATGTCTAAAACACCAAAAGCAATGGCAACAAAAGCCAAAATTGACAAATGGGATCTAATTAAACTAAAGAGATTCTGCACAGCAAAAGAAACTACCATCAGAGTGAACAGGCAACCCACAAAATGGGAGAAAATTTTCACAACCTGCTCATCTGACAAAGGGCTAATATCCAGAATCTACAATGAACTCCAACAAATTTACAAGAAAAAAACAAACAACCCCATCAAAAAGTGGGCGAAGGACATGAACAGACACTTCTCAAAAGAAGACATTTATGCAGCCAAAAAACACATGAAAAAATGCTCACCATCACTGGCCATCAGAGAAATGCAAATCAAAACCAAAATGAGATATCATCTCACACCAGTTAGAATGGCAATCATTAAAAAGTCAGGAAACAACAGGTGCTGGAGAGGATGTGGAGAAACAGGAACACTTTTACACTGTTGGTGGGACTGTAAACTAGTTCAACCATTGTGGAAGTCAGTGTGGCGATTCCTCAGGGATCTAGAACTAGAAATACCATTTGACCCAGCCATCCCATTACTGGGTATATACCCAAAGGACTATAAATCATGCTGCTATAAAGACACATGCACACGCATGTTTATTGCGGCACTATTCACAATAGCAAAGACTTGGAACCAACCCAAATGCCCAGCAATGATAGACTGGATTAAGAAAATGTGGCACATATACACCATGGAATACTGTGCAGCCATAAAAAATGATGAGTTCATGTCCTTTGTAGGGACATGGATGAAATTGGAAATCATCATTCTCAGTAAACTGTCGCAAGAACAAAAAACCAAACACCGCATATTCTCACTCATAGGTGGGAATTGAACAGTGAGAACACATGGACACAGGAAGGGGAACATCACACTCTGGGGACTGTTGTGGGGTAGGGGGAGAGGGGAGGGATAGCACTGGGAGATATAACTAATGCTAGATGACGAGTTAGTGGGCGCAGCGCACCAGCATGTCACATGTATACATATGTAACTAACCTGCACATTGTGCACATGTACCCTAAACTTAAAGTATAATAATAAAAAATAAATAAATAAATAAATAAAAATTTAAGGCCAGGCACGGTGGCTCATGCCTGTAATCCCAGCACTTTGGGAGGCTGAAGTGGGTGGGTAACCTGAAGTCAGGGGTTTGAGACCAACCCGGCCAACATGGTGAAACCCTGTCTCTACCAAAACTACAAAAATTAGTCAGGTGTGGTGGCGGGCACCTGTAATCCCAGCTACTTGGGAGGCTGAGGCAGGAGAATCGCTTGAACCTAGGAGGCAGAGGTTGCAGTGAGCCGAGATCGTGCCATTGCACTCCAGCTTGGACAACAAAAGCGAAACTCCATCTCAAAAAAAAAAAAATTAATACTCAGCAATAGGGTCCTAAAACCCAAATGCATTTTTCTAATAACCACTTTTTACTTTTCCTAATATAATAATACTTTGTTTTAGAAGCTGTCTCATAACATACAGTTAACTACTCCTATGACATCACTCAATTGATCTGTGATAAAATTCTGTAAGATCAAGTAACTCTGAAAAAAAAATAGTTTTGTGATACCTTGTTCTCTATCCAGCTATGAAGATTAGAGAATGTGGACCTCTGCACACCAAGCATTGCATAGAATCTCTTCTACATAAAATAACTATTAGATATGAGAAGAATATCCATTTCTGATTTTTAGGGCAACCAATTTGCTATATATAGATTTGAGTTAAATGCTATGAAATATGTTAAACAAATTGAGAGTGTAGCAGCTCCAGGGAAACCTACGAGCTCTCAGGAATGGAGATTTCTGATTTGGGAGTCACAGAGGGAAAGTTAAGGGGTGACATTTGAGCTGCTCTCTAGCCTGCTCAGTCACATTAGCCTCTCATTATAAAGTCAGGCCTGAGCATTGGCAGAAGCAAAAGGGTGAAAAGTTTTTCATCTTCTTCGTCTGTTCATTTTCTCTACCTAAGAAGAGGTTCTACCTCCTCACCTACTTTCTACATATCAAATTTTGCTAATTTAGATTCATTATTTGTGCTTTTTAATTTCCCCCCAGTGAATTCCCTTAACCATTACTCTGTACATTTTAAACTTTTTATCAAATTTTGTATGGAGATCAGTAGCCTCACACCACCTCCCAGCAAAACATTTCAAACGTCAAATAATAGAAGCAGAATTAAGTTGAAGGCAGCTAGGTTCTTTACAGGATCTTTGAGCTCAGAACTCCAGGTTGGTACATGGACTGAAAAGCTAAAAACAGGGGCAGAATAAAAGCCATAACAATTTATTTTCTACCCTGTGATTTGCCAACCTTTCTCAGTTCACTGTCTATTCCCTGTTGTAAGACATGTCCTAATTTTTGATTACGGAAGTATCTATGACAAGTATAGACAAGTAGAGTTATTTTCCATTTTTTTGAGCACGGGATTTTCCTTCAAGGAGCTTGCAACCAGTCCAATGGTGGAGGTACTTGAATAGCTTGTATAGAAATACAAATCCAACTCAGGTGTAAAAAAATGGTTTCTTGGAAGAGATGGCATAATTAGAAGTTTTGAAAGAAAATAAGGCCAAAATTAAAGAGAAGTTTATTCTAGGCACAGGACTTACAAGACAGGAGGATATATGATGAATGAAATATTTTAGGGAGAAATGTGTGGTGTTCAATGGAATTTTTTAGAGAGAAAAGTATGGAGAAATATATTAAAGGGCACTATGTATTATGCTAATGGGTTTGAATATTGTTTTGAATATTGTGAGGAAGCTTGGGAGAATGTTAGGCAAAGGTGAATATATCACATGTGGAATTCCCAACACTTTTCTAGGATTAAAGTGGAAGGTGTATTGCAAGTGAGAAAAAGGTAAGAATAGCAAGAGGAAAGCCAGTTAGTAATACTCATGGACATTGAAGCTTAGATTTGATTGATACTAAGGGCTGTTCCTTTTCAGTATCATAAAAGGTTCTTCATGAAATGGCTTTCCCGTTTCCCAAAATGTCCCCCAGAATGTCTCTTCGTTGTATCTGATCTAAGTCCAAATGATGTGAACTGCCTTCCAGGAAAATTAGAATTTTTTTAATATTTGAATTACCCTGTAAAGTACCTGTAGAAACATTTTCCCTGTTAAATTAATTCAGCCTAGATGTACTGACCACCTGTGTATGCAAGATTGTGTTAAGATTTGTAGTAAAAAAAAAAAAATCATAAGCCATGGTAGGACACAATGCTTGCTTGCACTTATAAGTCTTAAAATATAAGAAAGAGATGTGAGGCACATGGAAAACAAGTTTCATACATATGGAACAGATTTAAGAAGAAAATTCAGAAGAGAAGTGACCTCTACCAAGGAATCCATCCTAGACGCTCTGTTTTAACATTACTTAAAACGTGAACCGGATATCAAGAAGTGAAGAAAATCAGGTGTTCTATAAACAGACAGAAACAAAAATATGCAGGGGAAAACAAAGTAGTGGTAGAAAAATTAATTGATTAGGTATAGAGTTGTGATGCCTCACAATTCATTTCCGTCTGAAAAACTGCACAAAGATCTATGTGTTCTACAAAAGCCTATATATTCTGCTGTATATCCAATGATATACCAGTGAGGTCAAATTCAAATTTTGCAGAAGTATGTGGGAGTGACCATTTAAAAATCAGGCTAACCACATCTTTTTGTTCCATAGATTTCTGATGGAATCATTTTTTCTTTTAAATTAGGATTTTTCCCTCTAGGGAAGACGGTACCTACACAGTGGTAAAAACACTTAATGAAGGATGAGAAGAAATTACTAGCTAAAGCAACCCGTATGTCTGTCTAGGCTTCTACAGCAGTCAGTTATTCGGCTGTCCTAAACTAAACAGCCTCACTATGTCAACAGCCTTAGTCTGTCAATTTATGCATTTATGCACTTTCACAAACATCCCTATTTTGGGTTAGGAAATGAGCACTTCAAGGTCATCTGGAGGTGACCAGCTATTACAGGTTAATGCATAAGACTAAAGAAGGACAGAAAAAAATATGGCGATTATTTTTATTTCCTTGCCCAAGGACATTTAAGCCCAAGGGAGGAAGAAATTGGGCTTGCACTGTGTTGTTTATGTATCATCTAAATTCTTCTCAGGAAAAAAAAAAAGCATTGAGAAACCAATTTCTCTGCAGCTAAATACTCTGCCAACGATTTACCTCGTATTTCATTTAAGGTGAAGTTGAATATCTAAAAGAAAATCACTTCAGCATGGACCTGATGCTAATTAACATCATTATGTTTCCTTCCTCTTTTTCTTTTAGCTAACCTGATCGGAGGTCCTAGGTGCATACCAAGTCAGTCATACACAATAACATCGTTTATTTTTGAACAACAATTTACTCTAGCTTTAAAAAAGAACATATTGTTAATGGGCTTTGCCAATACTGCCTCAGATGTCATTAGGTTTACATGGGTAACGGCAACATGGATAATGGCAGAGTATATTTGGTTTAAAATAGCAAATCGAGTGTGTATCATTATTTCTCTACATCCATGTTTCTAACTTAATTTTTTTCCTTTACTATAACAACAAATTGACAATGCATTAATTTAAACGTTCAATTTAAAACCAGCCTTGGAGTTAATGCACTTAAATCGGTAAAAGCAAAGATAACAGCAGGCTAAAAGCTTTGTGTAAATTGAAAAGCTGTCAACCCAATTGAAATAATTTTGGTTCCACCATGATTTGTCTTCCTATTCTAAAAAAAGACTTACCTAGTTTATTGCAGATTTGGAAAGTTTGATGGTTCTCTTATGATGTTATGAGAAGGCTTGGGGAAGTTCCCAAAGTTTGTTAGCCGTAAGTTGAATATCTCTCAAAAGAAAAAAAGATATATTCTTTTTGAATCAGAGACTCAAGTTATGCTTTAACAGTTTTAGATCATTACTTTTATAGGACACTTCAAATATGACAACTTATGTTGTGTTAAGAGGCTTATGAAAAATACATAATGCACAAATATATATGATAATAAGTAAATTTATTATAAGAACAAAGCCTTTTATATAAATGATATATTCTTAGTAGAACACAAAGTGTGGAAACTCCTTAGTTTTAGGTGCATTTTTTAAATCAAAACTGAAGGAGAGGAAAATCAGTTGGTAAAAATCACTCAACCTGAAATGACTTCTCTCACACTTCAACTCAAGCTCCTATTAAATAAGTGCTCTAAAACCTGTTGCCTACTCTACACACCGTAGTTCATTAAAGTCTCCCAGCACCATAGTCCTGAGAACACAGACAGTTCTTTTAAGTTATATTAAAATAAATAAATACTAACCAGAGAGCCAAGATAATTTAGAGCTACATTAACAGCAGTTTGACTTGAACCTTAAAGATTGCTTAGTTAAAATCTCTCCCAACATAGAAGAAGCTAGGCTTTCTGGCTTTGGGATCACCGTTCTTTTCACTCCTTGTAGTACTAGCATTTTTTTCTCTTTTTTTTTTTTATGTCTCTGTCTTACTGTTTTGACTATATAACCACTCTGTTTCCCATACATATCCTCCACCTGAAACACTTGATTCTATTACCCCTCCCTATGAAAATGTACTCTTAGGAAAAGAGTACATACCCTTTATTTCTATAAAAATACCACATCCTTCTTTTTCTTCTGAAATAATTGCTTAAGAGAAAAATTAAAGGAGAGTTCTGATTACCAGTAAGACAGAGTAAGTAGCTGAATATTTTGGAAAAAAAAAATAGGTGGATTGAGAATGAAGACCAGAAATCAATGTGTCACCAAACGGACAGTGTGTTTCCTCCCCCCTCTGTCCTCTAGTATACTCTGGGCAGAAGTAATACCTGGAAATGGACAGTAGGGCACAGAGAGAGCCCTAAGAGAAGCCCTCTAGTTTTGGCTTGAAGAGCAGAAAAGGAAACTTCCATTGTCAAAACTTTTAAAAAAGAGAAATAAGTTGAACCACTCTCTGGTTTGAAGACTTACTATTAAGCTTCAGTAATTGAGATAGCGTGGTATTGGCAAAACACCATACTCATAGATCAATGGAACATAATAGAGTTCGGAAATAGACCAATAGAAATATGGTCAATTTATTTTTGACAAAGTTGCAGAAGCATCAATGTAGAAAGAATAATTTTTTTAGGCATTTGGCCTAAAAAATTGGACATCCTTGGCCGGTCGTGGTGGCTCACTCCTGTAATCCCAGCACTTTGGGAGGCCAAGGCAGGTGGATCACGAGGTCAGGAGATTGAGACTATCCTGGCTAACATGGTGAAACCCCATCTCTACTAAAAAATACAAAAAATTAGCCGGGCGTGGTGGCGGGTACCTGTAGTCCCAGCGACTCGGGAGGCCGAGGCAGGAGAATGGCATGAACCCAGGAGGTGGAGCTTGCAGTGAGCCTAGATTGCACCACTGCACTCCAGCTTGGGTGACAGAGCGAGACTCTGTCTCAAAAAAAAAAAAAAAAAAAAAAAATTGGACATCCTTGTGCAAATAAAAGAAGCATGACTTAGAAATTATTAACCAATAACAATTGGACATCCTTGCGCAAATAAAATAACCATGACTTAGAAATTATTAACCAATATGTTTTTATGTAAATATTAAATACAGTGGCTTATATATCTAAATACAAACTATAAAACTTTTAGAAGAGAATCTTTGTGATCTAGTGTTAGGCAAATAATTTTTAAACACTATTCCTAAAGTACAATCTATGAAAGAATAAATTGAAAAAAGTGGACATCAGTAAAGTTAAGAACATTTGTTCTGTTAAAGACACGATTAAACTTATGAAACGATAACCCATGGCTTGTGATAAAACATGGACAAATCACATCTGCAACAAAATTATTTTTATCTCAAGAGTGTAAAAAATTCTGAAAACTCAACTGTTAGAAAACAACAAGTTTCAAAATAGACACAAGGCTTGGACACTCCACCAAAGCAGATACAAGGTTGGCAAATATGCACATGAAAAGATATTAGCCATTAAAAATTCAAATTGAAACCATGATGAGATATCACTACATACTTATTAGATGGGTTAAAATATAAAATGCTAGCAGTACAAAGTGCCAAATATATGAAGACATTGGAACTCTTTCAAATTCCTTCTGCAAAAACAAAATAGTATTCACTCTAGAAAACAGTTTTACCATTTCTAATCCAGTTAACCATACGTTATGTGTCCTAGTAATCCCACTCCTAAGTATTTACCCTAGAGAAACACAAATTTATATTCACATAAAAACCTACAGCAATGTTTGTTATAGCTTTATTCATAATCCCTACAACTGGAAACAGCTGAAATATCTTCAACGGGTAAGGGAACTCAACAAATTATGGTACCTATATGCAACGGAGTGCTACTCAATAATTGAAAGGAACATACTATTGATGCATACAGTAACTTAACATGAACTGTAAAGGCTGTCTGCTGAATGAAAGAAGCCAGTCTCAAAGGGTTCCATGTCATATGATTTCATTGATAAAGCAATCTTGAAAGAACAAAATGGTGATAGAGCACAGACCAGCAGATGCCAGGGTAAGGGTTAGGGAAATGTGTACCTGAAATAAGATAGTATGAGGGAGCTTTGGGATGATGGAACTCCTCCATTCTAATTGTAGTGGTCATTACATGAATCTTTATATGTGTTAAAATACATCAAGCTGAATCATCAAGCAGTATCAATTTTACTGTATGATAACTTAAAAATATGGGAAAAATTTGAATGAGAGGATCACATTCCAAAATAGTAAAAGGTGACTTAGATATGTTAAATTAATGCAATTTTCCAGGCCAAAATGTAACATACCAAGTCATTAATAAAATTTAAGTTAATGTGAGTTGTTCAAAAAAGATTGACATCAAATAAAAAAGGACCCAAGGTTTTGAATTGAATGCATATGGTAATGATAATTATAGATTGTTAAGCTTGATATTGAGGCTCAGTGTAATTTGAGGAGCGAAATTAAAGAGAAACCAGTTGCAAATTATTACAAAATGCATTATCAATGGATGCTTTTATTTTGTTTAAATATGTCATATCAGAATATTTTTAATTCATTTTTTGATCAGATTTCTAGGCTAATAGATCTGAGCAATGTAGTAGACAAAGTATACATATTTAATATTCATTAATAGAAGTGACCCTGTGAGAAATCTACAGTATTCTATTAAGTACAGGAATTCCTAGATTATTAGATCCTGTCTCAACACCACATTTTTGACAGAATAAGTAATGCCAAGTATGCATTTAGAGTAATGACTTCAGAAAGTTATCAAATAATTTTAAAAATTGATAGCAATAAACAATTCAAGTATTGTCAGAATAAGTCTGCTACCAGATGTAAAGTGTATAGTATGGTATATATTGTATAGCTACTGTGGTCTGAATGCTGTGTTCATGCACTAAAATCCTAATCCCTAATGTGATCTCATTAGGAGTTGGGGCCATTTGGAAGGTGATTAGGCCATGAGGAAGAAGCCTTCATGAATAGGATTAGTTCCCTTATAAAATAGGTCCCAGGGAGCTTGTTTACTCCATCCACCATGTGAATACACAGCAGGAAGGTGTCATTTTTGAACCAGAAAATGATTCTCACCAGGCACCAAATCTCTGGTGCCTTCATCCTGGACTTTTCAGACTCCAGAACTGTGAGAAATACATTTCTGTTGTTTATTAGCTACTCAGTTTATGGTATTTTCTTGTAGCAACATTTTGAGAAATGTTTAATAAGTTGCTTTAGGTTATACTTAATTTACTGAGCTAGACTAAAGCCTGATTTCAATGTGCTTTCTGTTAAGTCATGCTTACACATAGTGATGATTAAAAAACAGGTATATTTAAACTAGAAGGTGGAAATATGATTCATAGGGAGAATCCAGGGCATGAAAGCTGTTTTAAGATATTTGCAGAGACTGAACATCTAAAAAAAGATGTAGTCAGTTGAGTACTGATTCATTCAAAAATGATTATTAAGTACCTTCAGGTACTAGACTTGTGGGAGACACTAGGAACGAAATAATAAATAAGGTAGCTGCCAATTCGCTAGGTGCAGAGATAGGAAAAAGATAAGTAACTTTTCTGGAAGAGTTTTACTATTGATATCAAGGTTTACCTCTAAAAAACAGATTATACAACAATAAGTGTATTTACCTTTTAAAGTTACTAGATTACCTATATGATCTATTAGAAATTTAAGTTCAAAGGAAATAACATATAGTCTAGCTCATTCCTTTTGAAGATGAGAAAAAAGATCATGTTGTGTAATTTTAAAACTTATGCTGTCTGTGAAAGAGCATGATCACACAAGTTGCAATCCAGCTAGAATAAAAATTCAAGTCTTCTCCTTCATATGTATTAATAATTTCAGCGTATACCTTTAATGGACTTATTGTCTGTTAATCTTAGTTAAATACTATGGAGATGATCCGAAAGACTTAAATAAAATGAAGCATTTAATATAAGTTACTTAGCATAGCCTTTAACGAAACAAAAATTTTGAACAGTCATGTGCCCTTTCAGTCAAGGATAGACCACATATACAATGGTAGTCCCCTAAAATTATAATATTGCATTTTTACTAGACCTTTGCTGCTTAGATATGTTTAGATACATACTTACCATTGTGTTATAATTGCCTACAATATTCCAAACAGTAATATACTGTACAGGTTTGTGGCCTAGGAGCAATACGCTATACCATATGGCCTAGGTGTGTAGTAGGCAATACCATATAGGCTTGTGTAAGTATGCTTTGTGATGTCTGTAAAATGCAACACTACCTAATGACACATTTTGCAGAATTTATCCCCATTGCCAAGGATCACATGACAGCATATTGAACTGGCTAATACCATTCTTCTTATTTATTTTTAGAAAGTGAGAGGCAAACTTAATAAAACCACTACAAATAAATATTCAGAAATCCTGTATTATCTTTGAATTTTTGTAATATACTGAGGTAATAAAAGGTGTGAGATTATGAGTCCAAATGATCAAGATATTGACAACTTAGAATTAAAATAAAATAAAGTAATACTGGTCTTCAAAAAAACTCCTTCTTCAAGAGTATGAAGGCCCTTGAACTAGAAAAAAAAATGAGCATTTGCGTAATTTGAAGAAGTGTGTTGATTTATACATTTCTGGAGCGTTCCTGGAACCTTCCCAAGAGTCTAGATGATGACACCAATTGCTTGTCCTCTCCATCAAGGCACACTCCATAAACTTCGTGGATAATATATCTGCCCAAGGTCTAAATATCTGGAGTTAAGCTTAAATTTTGCTATTATTCATATAGCTCTAAGGCTGCTTGAAGTTAACTGTGATAAACTGTCCATTTTAGTGAATAATCTGAACAGTAGTCTCGGTAGCATTGGGTGCAAATTTATTCAAATTGACACTAAGGAAGTCATAGATCTCTGATTTGAAACACGCTGTAGTATTTTTTGTGTGCCAAGAAAGTTAAAGAAGATAAAGATTTGTCTAGCAAGCGAGCATGAATGCAAATATCAACAGCAAAGCAGCAATTTATGAGCTGTGCTTGCATGATATAGGATGGGTATATCTAAATTTTCAGAAGACTGGTTTCTTGTAATAGATTTTAAGTAATCTGAGAATCGATGGCCCATAAAAAGAAACGAAATGAGGAGAAAAACTTTCAGGAGACAGAGAAAGCAATATAATACCAAATGAAATAAGGAAAACTAACAGAAATTACTTGAGCAACATTGTCAACACTGACACATGGATTGCCTCAATTAATAATTACTGCAGTCCTTGGAATCAGTTGTACTATTATCTCCATTTTATACAGGAAGGTCCTTAGGAAGTAAAGTAATTTACCCAAGTTACAGATTTAGCAAATTACAGAGTTAGAGTTTGAGCCAATCATCTCTGTGGAATAAGAATCATTTGATAAAAACATCATGTCACCCCCTTTATTAAAGGTTAATTGGACAGCCAGCTCCAGAAAATGCCCCTGAAAAATGGAGATTCTTGTTTTGGAATATAGAGAAAGAGATATTGCTGTTTACTGTCTTTTTAGTTTACAAAGATAAAATTAAATACTGTTGTTTGTTAACTGAGGAACATCTACGTTTTAGCAGCCTCCTGCTCTCATCATTTTTGTTAAGCCCCAAAGTAGCAAGGAGAACTATTGGTTCAACGAGAAAACAAGAAAAACACTTCCAACAAAGAGTTAGTTCAGATGACTGCTCTGATTGCAGTCAGACACTGGAATCATAAAGCAAAATGCAATAATTCAGATGTTTCGGGGAAACATAAAATAAAAATGATAACACTGCTTTATATCTTGGAATAATGGATTGTGTTGACAGTGTTTATTTGATATCACACACCAAAGCAAAAATAAAAGCAAAAGAACAACAAAAGGGGCATGGCAGAGGAAGGCACTTATGAAGTATTTGTTTAAAGCACCACAAATTAGGATCCCCTAACAAAACAAATATAGGTCAAAAACATATAGGTTTTCTTTCTTACCAACTGGATAAAAGGAAGACTCTTGCCCGGGCGTGGTGGCTCACGCCTATAATCTCAGCACTTTGGGAGGCCGAGGCGGGAGGATCACGAGGTCATGAGATCAAGACCGTCCTGGCTAACACGGTGAAACCCCATCTCTACTGAAAATACAAAAAATTAGCCGGGCGTAGTGGCGGGTGCTTGTAGTCCTAGCTACTCGGGAGACTGAGGCGGGAGAATGGCATGAACCCCGGAGGCGGAGCTTGCAGTGAGCCAAGATCGCGCCACTGCACTCCAGCCTAGGCGACAGAGCGAGACTCCATCTCAAAAAAAAGAAAAAAAAAAAAGTAAAGCTCTTGCCCAATTATAAAAGACCTCCATTATTTGGTTATGATTTTCCACTGAAATCATGTTTCATTAGCCTTTCATTCTAATTCATATTGGGCTAAGCATACCTGTTTGCCCTTTACCTTAATTTTGTTTTTTCCTTATTTGTCTTTTCCCTCCCTTCTCCTGTCACCTACCCACACACCTGAATATATGCTTACACTATATAATCTGCTTCTTCCAGTGCTTATATTGGGGATGTTCCTTTCATCCAATTTGGATGTTCACTTTTCTCTCTTTCCAACTATTTCTAATGCTCTCACACTTCCCAATATACCTATAAACTTATGTCTTCAAAAAAGACTTTCTGAATTAATCTGAATTAATAATTTTATACATATTCTACTAAAGGGTTATAAAGAAGAGATAAACTAGGCCAATTAGATATAGTGCATTTTTTTCTGCTTTCATTAGACTTTCAACCTGAGAAAATTTACATATCAGGGTACCAGTTCACACATGTACACACACACACAAACACACATTCACAGGTTTATAACACACACACACACAAATACCAAACAGACATAGACACAAGCACATTCAAGCTAGAGACAAGTAGTCTATGTTATTACACAGTTTGTTGTTGTTTTTAAAGCAAGACTCAATTAACTGTTAAGTGTGAAAAATGTTTCATTAATATTTAACCCAGCCAACAGTTATTGAGATTCTGGGAAACCAGTAGTAAAACAAACATGGAAGTTTATCCTTCAAGGAACTAGTAGCAAAAGGCGAGTTTAACAAGCGCAATTAATTTTTGATGGAAGTTAAAATAGTGATTACCTCTGGGAGTTAAGGAGTAACTGTGAAAACTGGATGTATTATGTATCTTGACATTGACAGTGATTGTGTGCGGGTAAATTTAATAGTTTTATGTACTTATGATAGGTGAATGTTATGTAGGTTATTCTTAAAGACATGTTTTAAAGATCCACAGAGTACGCATACTATCAGGTATTAATCTCCAAAAATATCCAAGTAATTTACACATTTGTCCTAAGTCTCTTGATTTTCTTGAAACATGTATCTTGCCCTCTTTTTTAATTTATTTTATTTTTATTTTTATTTTCTTTGAGATGGAGTCTCACTCTGTCACCCAGGCTGGAGTGCAGTCACACAATCTCGGCTCACTGCAGCTTCCACCTCCTTGGCTCAAGCGATTCTTCTGCCTCAACCTCCCAAGCAGCTGGGACTACAGGCATGCACCACCATGCCTGGCTAATTTTTGTATTTTTACTAGAGATGGGGTTTCACAATATTGGCCAGACTGGCCTTGAACTCCTGATCTCGTGATCCGCCCGCCTCAACCTCCCAAAGTGTTGGGATTAATTCCAGCACTTTGAGAGGCTGAAGAGGGCAGATCACCCGAGGTCAGGAGTTCAAGACCAGCCTGACAAAGATGGAGAAACACTGTCTCCACTGAAAATACAAAATTAGCTGGGCATGGCTGTTCATGCCTGTAATCCCAGCTACTCAGGAGGCTGAGGCAGGAGAATCGTTTGAACCTGGGAGGTGGAGGTTGCAGTGAGCCGAGATCATTGCACTCCAGCCTGGGCAACAAGAGTGAAGCTCCATCTAAAAAAAAAAAAAAAAAAAAAAAAAAAAAATGCTATTTTCATTTTCACTACTTATTGGCAACTTCAGTTAACATTTATAGGATTGTCAGATTGGGAAAATGCTCTCAAGTGTGTTTTTAGATAAACTAAACTTTTAAAGTTTTCAAGTTTTTCCATGAATTTGCTTAAGTCTTTTTGAATTATTACTTATTAACCAGTTTGTTATCAATGTACATAATACATGGGAATATTTGAGTTTTATCTTATCTTCATCAATGCTACTATTTTGTTTCATATAAATCTCTTTGTCTTATCAAGAGATTTAAAATGTTTCCAGTGTCCATGTAGTCCATTCCTCTTAGTTGATTGGATTATCAAACAATGCAAAAACACATCCATTCATTCAAATTTACTTTAATGAGTTGCTGGATTGATAGTATCCATTATTTTGGTTAAAATTTATGTATAGATATCAAAATATTTATTGCTTGTTTCTACTTATTTGTAGTCCTTATTTCATAATCATATTAATCTGAATTTTCTGTTAATTAATTATTTAATGAGCATTTAACTGCTTAATACATTATCTAATAGAATTATTTTTAAAAGTTTCTCTCTTATGTCCAAATCAGACACCAGTAATTTCTCACTCGTTTTATTGAAATGCTCCAAAACATCTTTCCAAATTGCACTTAAAGTGGCTTATCAACAAGCTTAATAAATAATGCACCTCTATTAAGAACGAATAAATATTTAGTACTTTTTATAACTGGATATGCTACATGATCAAGTATATTTATCAAATGTGGAAATTTCCATTTTCATATCATCAATTAATATTAACTCCACTGCTTACAATTTTACACATCTGCAGATAGGTAGAATTTCCATAGACTGTCTTCCAGGGCCATGCATTTCAAATACTTTATTCTTTTATCCCCCACAAATTCCAAAGAGTATGTTTGAATCATATATCTGACTTTGCATTTCTCCATCTTGATGCTGATTGAATCAGCCGAGTGGGAAGTACATGTAATCCTAGAAGCCATTCTAATACCAAGATGAGTAGGAATAACTCAATTATACAGGAAACTGACAGTGAAGCAGAAGAATATATTCTATACAATTTAAACTAAATATTTCAGCAAGTGAGCTTCCCCATAGCTAGATCATAAAAATGCCTGCAGCCACTTGAGGTTACCCAACATGTTTGATAAAATGAAAGTCAGAATGGAAAGAAGCAGCAGTCTTAATGGAGTGTGATTAAAATATCTCACTTTTAAAAATTTTACAAAAACGTATGGTTTGGGGAACAAATTTCTAGGTCCTTTCATAAGACATCAAAAGAAGCCCCTTTTTTTTCAGTATTTCTGAAGCTTAAATTTCACTAGTTTCATGGTTAATCTGCCTGTGAATGTAAAACAGACACAATAAAACCATTTACCTCTTTTCTGTTAATCTCTTGATTTATGTTAATTTACATTTTCCTTTATACTTGCATACCGAACCCAACCATGTGTCAATCATGCACATCTTATAACTGAAATATATTTTAAATTGATACCTATCTTCTGTTTTCTTCCAATTATAACTATGCTGGTCTGTGACATCTGATTATCACCTATTTTATTATGATTTTTTTTTTTTTTTTCTGAGTTGGAGTCTCGCTGTGTCGCCCAGGCTGGAGTGCAGTGTTGTGATCTCAGTTCACTGCAACCTCTGCCTCCCCGGTTCAAGCGATTCTCCTGCCTCAGCCTCCCGAGTAGCTGGAACTACAGGTGTGCGCCACCATGCCTGGCTAATTTTTGTATTTATAGCAGTGACAGGGTTTCACCATGTTGGCCAGGATGGTCTCGAGCTCTTGACCTCGTGATCCGCCTGCCTTGGCCTCCCAAAGCGCTGGGATTACAGGCATGAGCCACCGTACCCGGCTGCAACTCCTTTTCCTTCTCTGCCCAAATTTGTTTTATCACATTGAGCTTCCAAAAGAGCAATATAGACATTTCTCCCTTGCTCATTGTCCTTTAATGCTCTTCATTGTCTGCTAAATTAGGTACAAACTTCTGAGCCAGAATTCAAGACCTTCTTTAATTTGGCTTTATTCTATCTTTGCGAAATAAGTAATCACAAATAATAGGTATTTCTAAAGCTATATGTAGTTTTATGCTTTCCTGGAGACCAGAGATTGTTATTTACTTAGTGGATCTTTAATGATTAGCATAGTGCTTTACATATTCTGTTTTATTGTTGTAGTTGTTGAATTGAAATAACTATAGGGGAGGAAAAAAATTCTTTACCCCTCATGAGCTCTAAATTGGAACAAAAAAAGAACAGTAAATTTTTAGAGAAGTGATATGACAAAGAAAAAGGACTGTGAATCTCTCTGGGGGCAACAAATTGTGACAGCTAAATGGCAGATAAAGGCTTGTTAGTGAACCTTGTTAATGTAGATTCCTCTGGTGTCATCTTCAGGCCCATGGGGGTCTAAAGTTGCCTTGAGAGGTTAACCTTTTTCCTCCTTGTAGGAGGTAGGTGAGTAATACCTTTTGTCTGTGTAAATTTGTGTCTTGATATTAGGCAAATGAAGGTCAGAGAGCTTTCTTGCATCTGCTTTTTCTTAATTGCTTTCAGCTCAAAACAGTCTTCATGCAAAAGAGGCATATTTTGGGGTGGCATAATCTGGTCTCCTACACTAGCAATATACTGAATTGATATACTGACAAGGTAAATTTTCAAAAGCTGTATCTCCCTGAAAATTGTATTTTGTATCACCCAAGTGTCTAGACATTTGCAGGTAAAAAAGATGCTAATCCCAGTTCAAAAGTGATGAACCTGTGTCAGTGATCACTTAAGAACATCAAAAAGTGTTCAGATATTATACATAATTATATCTTACTCAGGGAATACCTCAGAAAATAATTAATGTTCAATATAAAGATTACTTTTGGAAATATTATAAATGATTTGACTTCCATCATTATATCTTGCTGATTCTCTTTATTTATGTTCTATTTGCCCTGATTCACCTCTCCATAGCTACAGTCCCTCCATTTAAAGGAATCATTCAATATTTTCTAGAATAATGCCAAAACAGCATATATCGCTATCATCAGTTTCTTCCACAGCTAATACATGTTATTCATTATTGTCATAGTAGTCTTTCATAAATAATCTTTTATTGTCCATGCTCAAAAATGTTTAAAACCTTCCCATAGTAAATAGGTTTCAAAACATACCTGTAATACAGATTTCTATGCTTATTTCTTGAGATTCTGATTCAGTAGGCCTAAAATAGAACCAAAACGTTAAATATATTAATGTGTTTCCCAGGTGTTTTCTATTATTAGGTGTTTGAGTACCACTGCATCCTATGTCAGGTTCAGATAATGTATAACATATTATAACACAATTTGAGTAGCCCTTATCTAAAATACTTGGGACCAGAAGTGTTTCGAATTTTGAGTTATTTTGGATTTTTGGAATATATGCATATACATGAAATATGTTGGGCATCAGCCCCAGTCTAAACAAAAAATTTATGCTTTATATTTCTCTTATACATATAGTCTAAATGTAATTGTATATAATATTATTAATAATTATGTGTATTAGGCCAGATGCAGTGGCTCACGCCTGTAATCGCAGCACTTTGGGAGGCCGAGGCAGGTGGATCACTTGAGGTCAGGAGTTCAAGACCAGCCTGGACAACACGGTGAAACTCCGTCTATACTAAAAACACAAAAATTAGCCAGGCGTAGTGGCAAGTGCCTGTAATCCCAGTTACTTGGGAGGCTGAGGCAGGAGAATTGCTTGAGCCCAGGAGGCCGAGGTGGCAGTGAGCCAAGATGGAGCCACTGCATTCCAGCCCAGGAGACAGAGCAAGACTCTGTCTAAAAATAAAATAAAATAAAATAAATAATTCTGCGCATTAAACAAAGTTTGTATACATTGAGCTGTCGGAAGGCAAAGGTGTCAGTCATTTCAGCCACTCATTAGGGCAAACTGTGGTTTTTTTTGACATCACCATCATTCCTGATTCTAAATGTATATGCTATTGATAAGCAATTACTTTCTTACACTTATTTGCACATGAATACTTAATTTTTAAAAATATGACATGCCATTCATACAGTAAAAAAATAATGTGTTCAAGATTACTTGTGGTATCATATCAGCACTTTTATAGTTTTGGAGCTATATATTTAAATAAATATATATTATATACATATGTGTATGCATACATAATATTTAAAAATATATATTAAATTTGGGAGACCAAAGTGGGTAGATTGCTTGAGCTCAGGAGTTCAAGACCAGCCTGTGCAACATGGTGAAACCCCATCTCTACAAAAAAATACAGAAATCAGCTGGGTATGGTGGTGTGTGTCTGTAGTACCAGCTACTTGGGAGGCCGATGTTGGAGGATGGCTTGAGCCCGGGAGGAGGAGGGTGCAGTGAGCCGAGATCATGCCGCTGTGCTCCAGCCTGGGTGACAGAGTCAGACCCTGTCTCAAAAATAAATGAATTAACAAATAATAAATAAAATAAAAGATGATATATTTATATATCTATACTACATCTATCCATCCATCCATCAATAATCTATCATTCTATGTATGCATATCTATCTATCTATCTTCAAATATACACCAGAAATTGCACCACTTTCAGTGGTACCTAACTGTGGATTTTATTAAGGTCCATTGTGCTGGCATGCAGTGAGCCTTTTTTTTTTTTTCTTGAGATGGAGTCCGCTATGTCACCCAGGCTGGAGGGCAGTGGCTCGATCTCAGTTCACTGCAACCTTTGCCTCCCAGGTTCAAGAGATTCTCCTGCCTCAACCTCCCGAGTAGCTGGGATTACAGGTGCCTGCCACCATGCCCAGCTAATTTTTGTATTTTTAGTAGAGACGGAGTTTCACCATGTTGGTCAGGCTGGTGTCGAATTCCTGACCTCATGATCCGCCTGCTTCAGCCTCCCAAAGTGCTACGGTTACAGGCGTGAGCCACCACTCCCAGCCACAGTGAGCCTTTTCAGTCTGGAGATTTGTATCTCTCAAGAATTGGAAATTGTCTTACGTTAACTTATTATTTATATAATAATCTGTGAGCATGTGTTTTGCATATTTCTTATGTTTCTTTCTAAAATTCTTACCTGTCTACTATAATCAGATTGTATAAACTCTGTTTTCCAAGGCAATTATTCATCTCAAGTAGGTTTAAAAATCATTCGAATTTAGTTTTTGAATTAGTCTCATTCTTTTTTTCTCCAAGTAACGCATCTTTGAAGTTATTTTACGTATTTTTCTAAACTGAGTTTTATATATTTGTTTCAAAGAAATGAAATATACTTATTTGACCAAGCAATTTAGTAACCAGCAGGAAGCATTCATGTACTTACTTAATATACACAGGTTCTAATTGTATAGTTTGTAAGTAGAATCATTTGATTCAAAACACCTCTGATTAATAGCGATTTTTAAAAATTTCTGCCCTTTCAAACATACTTCGAATAATACATATCTAGTAGTTAATAGTGTCTTCTAAAACAGTATTCAAAATCACATTTTGTTTGAGATGTTTATTTTATTTTCATTTTAAATATAAATTTTCCTTTAAAAATATATGGCTTCTTAAGTGATCTTTCATGTTTTTTCCTAGATTGCCCTTATTGAATTATAATGCCATATAACCATCTAGATGCCCATTAGTTTTGCATTTATTCAATATCTATTCATTGCTTAGTCATTATTTGCTAGACACTGAACTAAGTACTCAGGAAACAGAAATGAAATATATAAATCTTACTCTTTAGAAGTTCTCTACCTAGCAATAAAATGAGTTGTTAGTGTCAATTTTAATATGGTGTGATAAATGGTGTAAAATACATAGAACCTAAATGACTGGAATGTGGGAATAATCCTGTAATTTTGTATTGTAAATCCATGCTAACTGAGGCCTGAAAGTTATGTTTGAAAAAAATATTGGGGGGGCATAATAATGCATACACTACTACATTCTTCAATACTCACCAGTCAGATCTCTGCTTTCATGACTTTGTAGTAAAATTCTCCATATCTCTGTTGGTCTCATCTTTCAAAATTTTTTAAATTAATTTTGTCCTGAAACTTCAAAAATGATATTCCAGATTTTTGATAAGAAAATCAGTAAACCCTTGCAAGCTAAGGAGCCACAATTTGGAAAGTGTATTATTTCTTTGACAATCACCTCACATGCATTTTCTCTGTCCTCTGTTTCTAAAAGCTCTATTAATGATATATACAAAGCTGGGATTGATTGAACAACCATGAAAAATGAGGAAATGGGCTAAGGATTTTTAAAGTCTTCGTGCTCTAAAAATATTTTTTCTAGTAAGAAGCTAAAATTGGAGACTGCAATAAAAATTTCACAATTATGAAAATCACTAAATAAAAAGGAGAGCAAATAAAGAGTATGAAGGCTATTATGCACACCGTACCTTACATGTGGTTTGTCATTTAATGCCAACAACAGCCACATAAATTTTACATCACTAAAATTTCCTGGATGGACAATTATTCCTCAGTTTTAATTCTATGTGTCCAATCTTAAATGGAAATAAAAATATGGTGCTGAAAATCAATTTCTTGTCACTATATCTAGGATTATGTTTGAAATTGAATTTAAATTACTGTATTTGTATTCATTTAACTTAATATTTCCTTCTCCCTCCAACACACACACACATGCACACACACATATACATATGCACACATACACACATAATTCACACTTAAGGACTCACATGTGTGATCAATGTGCTGAGCACATTAGTTCTACTAATCTACTCATCCTTTAAGTTTCTCTAGGATGTATCCTGTAAGCCCACAATTCAAACAGGGCCAGCTACATAGTTTGTGCAAACCAACACAAAATAAAAATGTGAGCCTTCTTGGTTAAAAAAAAAGAACAAAAAAAAGAAAAGAAAATTTAAGTTGGTGACAGCAATGCATCACACCAATCCAAGGACCCATCTAAGCACAAATCTTTGTTTGACTGCAACGACTGTATGTTCATGAAGCTGCCTCTATGTCCAAGTTAAGTGTCCCTTTTTGTTCAGCTTATGGCACACTGTGTTTTACGTAGCATAGCAAAATCACATTCTATATACTCGTATTAATTTTCTAGGGCTGCTTTACTAAGATTCAAGAGAAGGGGTGGCTTAAACAATAGAAATTCAATTTCTCATAGTTCTGGAGGCCAGAAGTTCTAGATCGAGGAGTTAGGAGGGTTGGTTTCTTCTGGGACCTTTCTTCTTGGCTTATAGATGGCTCTCTTCTCCCATTATCATTTCTCTATCTGGCTGGGTACAAATTTCCTCTTCTTTTATAGGACACCAGTCAGGTTGGATTAGGGTCCACCTTAATAAAGTCATTTTAACTTAATTACCTCGTTAAAGACTCCATCTCTAAATACAGTCACATTCTGAGTTACTGGAGGTTAGGACTCCAATGTATGCCTGCAGCCCATAATGTCCTGTTATGAATATCTCTTGGGCATGAAATTCAGCATTTGTTGTTCACTACAATAAGTCCAGCATCTATCACATTCCAATAATTATAATAAATATCTACT
Organism: Homo sapiens; assembly: GCF_000001405.40. NCBI lineage: Eukaryota > Metazoa > Chordata > Mammalia > Primates > Hominidae > Homo > Homo sapiens. The sequence goes on from NC_000011.10 coordinate 98,670,474, forward strand.
AATAAATCAATACTGGCATCCTGTTTTTATTCTTCTTTGCTTTATTTTGTTTCACAGATATTGAAGTTTTTACAAATTGAAGGTTTGTGCCATCCCTGCATCAAGCAAGTCTATGGGTGCTATTTTCCTGACAGCATTTGCTCACTTTCTGTCTCTGTGTCATGTTTGGGAAATCCTCCCAATATTTTAAATTATTATTAGATCTATTATGTTTATCTGTGATAAGTGATCTTTGATGATACTATTGTAATTGTCTTGGGATGCTATGAACTGCCCCCGTATAAGACAGCAAACTGAATCTATAAACTGGTGTGTTCTGGCTGCTCCACTGACAGGCCGTTACCTTATCTCTCTGCCTCCCCTTGAGCTTCGCTATTCCCTGAGACACAACAATGTTGTCATAAGGCCAATTAATAACGCTACAATGGCCTCTAAGCATTCAAATGAAAGAAAGAGTTGCACATCTCTCACTTTACATCAAAAGCTAGAAATAATAAAACAGTGAGAAAGACGTGTCAAAAGCTGAGGTAGACTGAAAGCAAAGCCTCGTGGGTCAAACAGTTAGCCAGGCTGTGAATGCAAAACAAAAGTTCTGAAAGGAAATTAAAAGTGCTACTCCAGTGAACACACAAATAATAAAAAGTCACATAGACTTATTGTTGATATGGTGACATTTGTAGTGTTCTGGATGGATCAAGCCTGCCGCAACATTCCATTTAGCCAAAGCCTAATCCACAGCAAGGCCCTTACTCTTGTCAATTCTATGAAAACTGAGCGAGGTGAGGAAGCTGCAGAAAAAAGGTGGAACCTAGCAGAGGTTGCCTCATGAGGTTTAAGGAAAGAAGTTGCTCCTATAACATAAAAGTGCAAGGTGAAACAGCAAGTGCTAATGTAGAAGTTACAGCAAGTTATCTAGAATATCTAGCTAAGATCATTGATGAAAGTGGCTACACTAAACAGCTTTTTCAGTGTAAACAAGACAACCTGTCATTGTAAGAAGATGCCATCCAGGACTTTCATAGCAAGAGAGGGGAAACCAATGCCTGGCTTCAAAGCTTCAAAGGACAGGCTGACTCATTTGTTAGGGGCTCATGCATTTGGCGATTTTAAGTTGAAACCAATGCTCATTTACCATTCTGAAAATCCTAGGGTCCTTTAGAACTGGTCAAGTCTACCCTGCCTGTGCTTTAGAAATGGAACAATAAGTCTAGAGGATAACTGTTTTACAGCATGATTTCCTGAATATTTTAAGCTCACTGTTGAGATCTTTCACTCAGAAAAAAAAAAAAATTCTTCAAAATATTTCTGCTGATTGACAATGTACTTTGTCACCCAAGAGCTCTGATGGAGATCTACAAGGAGATGAATATTGTTTTTATGTCTGCTAACATGACATCCATTCTGCAGCTCATAGATCAAGAAGTAATTTTGACTTATTATTTTAAAAAATCCATTTCATAAGGGCATTGCTACCATAGATAGTGATTCCTTTAATGGATCTAGGCAAAGTAAATTGAAAACCTGGAAAGGATTCATCGTTCTAGATGTCATTAAGAACACATTTGACTTATTGTCAGAGGCAAAAGCATCAACATTAACAGGAACTTTAAAAAGAAGTTGATTTCCAACATTCATGGAGAACTTTGAGGCATTCAAGACTTCAGTAGAAGAAGTAACTATAGATGTGGTGGAAATGGTAAGAGAACTAGAATTAGAAATGGAGCCTGAAGATGTAATCAAATTGCAGTAATCTCTTGATACAATTTGAGCAGATTAGGAATTGCCTCTTCTAGGTGAGCAAAGAAAGTGGTTTCATGAGATGGAATCTACTCCTAGTGAAGATTCTATGAACATTGTTGATAGGACCACAAAGGTTTTAGATTACGTACACTTTCTCAGCAAAGCAGTGGCAGGGTTTGAGAGGATTAACTCCTCCTTTGAAAGAAGTTCTACTGTGGGTAAAATGTTGCTAAAAAGCATCACATGCTACAGTGAAATCTTTTGTGAAAGGAAGGGGCAGTTACAGCAAACTTCATTATTGTCTCATTTTAAGAAATTGCCACAGCTACCCCAATGTTCAGCAACCACCACCCTAATCAGTCAGTGGCTGTCCACATCAAGGCAAGACCTTCCACCAGCAGAAAGATTATGACTCACTGAAGGCTCAGATGATCTTTATCATTTTTAAACAGTAAAGTCTTTTTTATTTAAGGTGCATACATTGTTTTAAGACATAATGCATTACACAGTTAACATACTATAGTGTAAACATAACTTTCATATGCACTTGGGAACCAAAAAATTTGTTGTGTCTCACTTTATTGCGATATTAGCTTTAGGCAATGGTCTGAAGCCAAACCTGCAATACCTCCGAGACAAGCCTGTAAAATAATCAATGCACATGTAAATATTAGAGACTCTGATGTTCCACTATCAATGACATTCCAATGTAGGGCTATTGTTTCTGAGATTGGGGCGAAATTTCTGAGTCATTCAGAGAAAAAAATAATCAATTGGTAAACATGAAATTCAATGAAATAATTAATCTACTGCCAAAAAACTTTTTCTTAAACTTTTGTCTTTAACTATGTGGAATGTTAGGTGAAATATGGTAATTTGATAATTTCTTGAAACCAAATATTCACATTTTTAAAAAGAGTCTTAATATACTCACATCAAAGAAGACACATATGGTCAAATAGTGAAGATTTTAAAAATTATTTTAAAGTGGAAATGCTAATTTAGGCAGCATTTTACTTTGGGTTAATAAATAATATTTTTATTTTAGAAATAAAGGTGGATTTAATAACTACTCAATTTTAGTTTTAATTTATTTCTTATTAGGTACTGCTGAAATATTAAAAAGTCACTAGAAAATGTGATTTAATTTTATGCAGTGTTGGGTAAAATGTATTACTAAGTCTTATCTGCATATAAAATACATGAGGTAACTAAGTTGAAGATATTCATATAAATGGCTACATCATCTATGACAAATGGTGTATTCTAATTTTAATAAGGTACACATTTTTTAAATAATAGATTTTAACTTTTATTCTATTCTGTTAACAAAGTACCTAAACTCTATATGGCAGGTGTTATAATTGAAAATCAATTAATAAGCACATAGCCTGAAATTGAAAGTTATCCCTGGAATTGAGGACTAAAACAATATTTTAAGTAATTTCTACAGCCTTTAGTAATTTCACATTTGTCTATGCTTTCTTTAGTACTTCACTGGATTATATTTGTGGTTTCAGTTCATCTTTTAATGCCTTATCTGTAAAATTACCTACACTGAGAAGCACAGTGATTTACTGAATACCACCAATATTCTCAAATGAGTCAATCCATCTTTCAGATTTGGTCAAAGACCTCTGGGTCTACCTTTTCTTACACCTGTTTGCTTCCTTCAAATAAGCAATCGGAAATGTGTTATTCTGGGGTTTATACAAACAAATATTTTAAAACAACCTAATACATATAACATTTGAAATTACAGTAGAATAACACTAAAGAACAGGGGAAACGATCACTAAATATATCAGTGGCAAATTTGTGGCCCACTCATGAAAAATGTATGGAATTTCAAAGCGTCCCTTTTGTTTTAAATTATTCTTTATTCAATTTTATTTTTTCAGTCTCACTGCTCATTGCCTGTTTTATCTACCTTAAGTTTATATTACCTAATATTTTGATTGTGCTTTGATAAGCTGTCTTAAGTCTATATTTTGTGTTTTAATATTTTGTGATTGCTGCTGTTGTTGCATGTCATCTTTTAAAAATAATTTCAAATTTTATTTTATATACAGGGGGTACGCAGGCAGGTTTGTTACCTGGGTTTATTGTGTGATGCTGAGGTTTAGGGTCTGGGTCCCATCATCCAGGTATTGAGCATACTACCCAATAACAGGTAGTTTTTCAAAACACAATCCCCTCCATCCCTTCCCCCTTTAGTATTTCACAGTGTTATTTTTCCCATCTTTATGTCTATGAGTACCCAATGTTTAGCTTTCCTTTATAAGTAAAAATATATGGTATTTGGTTTGCTGTTCCTGTATTAATTATCTTAGGATTATGGCCTCCAGCTGTAACCATGTTACTGCAAAAGACATGATTTTATTCTTTTTCGTGGCTGTGTAGTATTCCATGGTGCATATATATCACATTTTCTTTATTCAATTCACCATTGATGGCTACCTAAATTGATTCCATGTCTTTGCCATTGTGAGTAGCAAAGTGATGAATATACAAATGCAGGTATCTTTTTGACGGAATTATTTATGTACTTTTGGGAAAATCCTAGCACCAGTTTCCCAGCACCATTTATATCCCAATAAATGGTGCTGGATATATACATACACATGTGGGGATATATCCAGCAATAGGATTACTGGGTTGAATGGTAACTCTGTTTTAAGTTCTCTGAGAAATCGCAAAACTGCTTTCCACAGTGGCTGAACTAATTTACGTTCCCACCAACAGGGTGTATTTCCTTTTATCCTTTTATCACCAGTGTCTGTTATTTTTTGACTTTTTACTAATAGCCATTCTCTCTAGTGTAACATGGTATCTCATTATGATTTTGATTTACATTTATCTGATGAATAGTGATGATGAGCATTTTATTCATATGTTCATCGGCCACTTGAATGCCATTTTTTTGAGAAGTGTCTGTTCGTGTCCTTTGCCCATTTTTTAATGGGGTTATTTGAGTTGCTCGTTGATTTGTTTAAGTTTCTTTATAGATTCTGATATTAGATCTTTGTTGGATGTATAGTTTGTGAATATTTTCTCTCATCTGTAGGTTGTCTGTTCCTTCTATTGACTGCTACTTTTGCTGTGGATAAGCTCCTTTCTTTAATTAGATACCACTTGTGAATTTTTGTTTCTGTAGCAATTGTTTTTGGGAGCTTAGCCAAAAATTCTTTGTCAAGGCCAATGTCAAGAAGGGTATTTCCTAGGTTTTCTACTAGGATTTTTACAGTTTGTGGTTTTTTATTTTAATCTACAATCTATCTTCAGTTAATTTTTTATATGGTGAAAGGTAGGGGTCCAGTTTCATTCTGCTGCATATGTCTAGCCAGTTATCCCAGCATCCTTTAATAGGAAGTCTTTTCCTCATTGCTTGCTTTTGTTGACTTTGTCAAAGATCAGATGTCTGCAGGTCCATGGCTTTATTTCTGGGTTCTCTATTATGTTCCATTGGTCTATGTGTCTGTTTCTGTATCAGTACCATGCCATTTTGATTACTGTAGCCTTATAGTATAATTCGAAGTCAAGTAATATGATCGGTAGTGTGATGCCTCTGGCTTTGATAGTTTTTGTTTTTGTTGTTGTTTGCCTAGGATTGCTTGCTTTGGTGATTTGGACTTTTAAAAAATTCCATATGAATTTAAGAATCTTTTTTCTAATTCTGTGAAAAATGGCATTAGTAATTTAATATGATCTATAAATTGCTTTGAGCAGTACAGCCATTTAAATGATACTGGATTTTCCAATTCAAGAGCATGGAATGTTTTCCCACTTATTTGTGTTATCTCTAATTTCATTCAGAAGAGTTTTGTAGTTCTTGTACAGATCTTTCACTTCCTTTGTTATCTGTATCTCTAGGTATTTCAATTATTTGCAGCTATTGTAAATGAGGTTTTCTTGATTTGACTCTCACCTTGAATGGTATTGGTGTATGGAAGTGCTACTAATTTTCATACATTCATTTTGTATCCTGAAATTTTACTGAAGTTGTTTTTCAGTTCTAAGAGATTTTTGGCCAAGTCTTTAGAGTTTTTTAGGTATAGAATTATATTGTCAGCAAAGAAAAATAATTTGACTTCTTCTTTCCCTACTTGAACGCTGTTTATTTTTTTTCCCTTCCCTGATTTCTCTGCCTAGGACATCCAGTAATATTTTGAATAGAAGTGGTGAGAGTGGGCATCCTTATCGTGTTCCAGTTCTCAAGGAGAACAGTTCCAGCTTTTGTTTCTTCAGGATGATGTTGTCTCTGTGTTTGTCATAGATGGCTCTTATTATTTTGAGGTATGTTCATTTGATGCCTAGTCTGTTGAGGGTTTTTATCACAGAGGGATTCTGGATTTTATCAAAAGCTTTTTCTACATCTGTTGAGATGATCATATGTTTTTTGCTTTGAATTCTGTTTATGTGTTTATATTGATTTGCATATATTGAACCAGCCTTGCATCTCAGGAATAAAGCCACTTGCTCTTGTATTAACTTTTTGATGTGCTGCTAGATTTGGTTTGCTAGTATTTTGTTAAAGATTTTTGTGTCAGTGTTCATCAGGAAAATTGGCTGAAGATCCAATATCTTTGTAGTTGTGTCTCTCCCAGATTTTGATATCAGACTGTTTCTGGCTTCAGATGATGAGTTAGGGAGGAACCCCTTCTTGATTTTTTTGAATAGTTTCAGTAGGATTGGTGCCACTTCTTCCTTGTATGTCTGGTAGAATTTGGCTGTGAATCTGTCTTGTCCAGTATTTTTTTTGTTTGGTAGGTTTTTCATTACTTATTCAATTTCAAAACTTACTATTCATTTTTTTCAGGTTTTTACATTCTTCCTGGTTCAAACTTGGAAGCTTGTATATTTCCAGGAATTTATACATTTCCACTAGATTTTTCTAATTCATGTGAATAGAGTTGTTTATAACAGCCTCTGAGGATCTTTTTGTACTTCTGTGCAATCATTTTTAATGTAAACTTTGTCATTTCTGATTGCACGTATTTGGATCTTCACTTTCTTTTTTTTCTGTTAATCTAGCCAGTGGTCTATAAATCTTATTTATTCTTTTGAAGGACCAATTCTTGATTTTTGCTTCTCAATTTTGTTCAGTTCTTTTCTAATTGTAGCTTCTCTCTCTCTCTTTTTCTTTTATTTGAGATAAGGTCTCACTCTGTAGTTCAGGGTGGACTGCAGCAGCATGATCATAGCTCACTGCAGCCTCAAACTCCTTGGCTCAAGTGATCCTTCTGACTCAGCCTCCCAACTAGCTGAGACTTACAGTCACCTGCCACCAACCGTGTCTAATTTTTTGACTTTTTTGTAGTGTTAGGTTTTTGCTATGTTGCCCAGGTGGCTCTCAAACTCTTGACCTAAAGGAATCCTCCTACCTCAGCTTTCCAAAGTGCTGAGATTACAGGCATGAGCCATTGCATCTGGCCTAGTTATTTCTTTTATTCTGCTACATCTAGGAGTTGGTTTGTTCTTTTTATTCTAGTTCTTCCAGATGCAAAGCTAGATTTTAATTCAAGACCTTTCTAACTTTTTGATGAAGGTGGTTAGTACCATAAACATTCCTCTTAATACTGCTTTAGCTGTATCCCAGATATTTGGGCAAATTGTTTCCCTATTTTCATCAATTTCAAAGAATTTTTTTATTTCTAACTTAATTTTGATGTTTACCCAGAAGTTAATCAGCAGCAAGTTGTTTAGTTTAAATGTATATGTATAGTTTTAAGAGAGCTTCTTGATATTGATTTATATTTTTATTGTACTGTGCTCTGAGAATGTGTTTGGTATAATTTTTTTTTAAAATTTACTGAGACATGCTTTATAGTTGAGCAAGTGGTCAATCTTGAAGTATGTTCCTTGTACAGGTGAGAGTAATATATATTCTGTGGTTGCTGGGTGGAGTATTCTGTTGATGTCTATTAGGTCAATTGATCAAGTGTCAAGTTTAAATCAAGAATTGCTTTGTTAGATGACCTATCTAATTCTCTTAGTGGGGTGTTGAAGTCTCCCATTTTCATTGTGTGACTGTCTAAGTATTTTTGTAGGTCAGGAAGAACTTGTTTTATAAATATGGGTGGTCCAGTGTTGGGTGCATATATATTTAGGATAATTAACTCTTCCTGTTGAATTGCACCCTTTAACATTATGCAATGCCCTTCTTTGCCCTTCTTAATAGTAGTTGGTTTAAAGTATGTTTTAGCTTACATAAGAATAGTGACTCCTGCTCTTTTTTGTTTTCCATTTGTATCATTTATCTTTCTCCGTCCCTTTACTTTGAACCTCTGGGTGTTATTACATGAGATGGGTCTGCTAATGATAGCAGATGATTGGCTCTTGTCTTTTTATCCAGCTTGCCATTCCATGTCTTTCAGTTGGTGTGTTGAGCTTATTTACATTCAGTGTTAGCCTTGATATGTGAGATTTGGATTCCGTAATTGTGTTGTTACCTGGTGGTTACGTAGAATGGATTGTGTAGTTATTTTAAAGTGTCTGTGGACTATGTGCTTAAATGTGTTTTTGTGGTAGCAGGTGTCATTCTTTTGATTCCATGTTTAGCACTTCCTTATGAACCTCTCATAAGTCTGGTTTATTTATTTATTTATTTATTTATTTATTTATTTATTTATTTATTTTCTGTGACAGAGTCTCTCTCTCTTGCCCAGGCTGGAGTGCAGTGGCATGATCTTGGCTCACTGCAAGCTCCACCTCCTGGATTCACGCCATTCTCCTGCCTCAGCCTCCCGAGTAGCTGGGACTACAGGCACCCGCCACCACGCCTGGCTAATTTTTTGTGTTTTTTTTAATTAGAGACGGGGTTTCACCGTGTTAGCCAGGATGGTCTCGATCTGCTGACCTCGTGATCTGCCCACCTCGGCCTCCCAAAGTGGAATTACAGGCATGAGCTACCACGCCCGGCTCCAGGCTGGTCTAGAGTTATCAAATTTCCTGCATTTGCTTGTCTGAGAATAATTTTATTTCTCCTTTGCTTATGAAGCTTAATTTGGCAGGATATGAAATTCTTGGTTAAAATTTCTTTTATTTAAGGATGCAGGAATTAGGTCCCCAATCACTTCTGGCTTGTAAATTTTCTGTTAAGAAGTCTGCTGCTAGCCTGATGGGGTTTTCCTTTGTAGGTGTACTGATCTTTTTCTCTAGTTGCCTTAAATTTTTTTTTTTTTCACATTAACCTTGGTGAATCTGATCACCATGTGATTTGAAATTGGTTGTCTTATATAGTATCTAGCCAGGGTTCTCTGTATTTCTTAAATTTGCATGTCAACCTCTCTAGTGAAATTAGGGAAATTTTGTGTGGGCTTTATCCTCAAATATATTTGCCACATTGCTTACTCTGTCTCCTTCTCTCTCAGGAGTGCCAGTGAGTTTTAAATTTCATTTTTTTTACATAATCCCATATTTATGAGAAGTTTTGTTCAATTTATTACATTATTTTCTCTTTATTTTTGCCTGAGTTGATTCAAATAACTTTTCTTTGAGCTCTGAGTTTCTTTTCTCAACTTAGTCTATTCTGCTGTTAATACTTCTAGTTGTAATGTGAGATTCCTGTAGTGAAATTATTGGTTCCAGAAGCTCAGTTTGGTTCTCAAAATGGCTATTTTGTCCTTTGCCTCTTGGATCGTATTACTGGATTCCTTGGATTCCTTGGATTGGGTTTCAACCTTCTCTGCATCTCAGTGAGCTCCTTTTTCATCCAGATTCTAAATTCTGTGGGTCATTTCAACCATTTCAGTCTGGTTAAGTACAATTTTGGGGGTGGGGGAGGGGGGTAGTGGGCTTCTTTGGAAGTAAGGGGACATTCTAGCTTTTCTTGTGATGATCATTTCTCATTTGGCAGGTGCTGGTATTCCTTTGACTGTGGTATAAGTTCTGTGTAGTCAGTTGGGTTCATTTCCAGATACTTTAAGATGGCCAAAGCCCTGTAGAAGATCTTTATTTCCCGGTCAATCCTTGCTCCTGGTTTCCCAGGTATGTATATTAACAGAATGCCTTTTTTTGGTGTTTTAGTTTGGGATGTGATTTAGTAGATGGTGATTAAGAATAATTGCTGATGGACATGCACTTACTCAGTTGCTTGGCTATTTTGTGTTTCTTTTCACTTGCAGGCATGCTCTGCAGTGTGGGGTGGGGAGAGAGAGACCCCCTTCTTCAGGTCTGCCCCTGGGCCTTGACGGAGCCCCCTTTGATCACTGGTGCTGCACCTGAATTTGTTTGTTAGATGTTCTGGGCCACGGGGCTTTCTCAGACAGAAGCTATAGCAGGGAGATAGGACACACTACATCCTTTCTGGATCATCCCTGCTCCCGCTGGTCCCTGAACCTGCTGTGCATCTTGTCCTTCTCCATGATCCAAGAGTAGGGGATCCAGTCCCACTCAAATGCCTACCACAGCTCTCAGCTCAGCACTCTCAAGCTGCATGCTGCAGCCCTGGGGCAACCAGATGGTCTGCCTCAGGGCCAGGCTGTTCATGGGGGATCCAAAGTGCTTATAGGTTGCTGGGAAAGTACTTAGGTAGAGTAAAGCACCCAGGGAGATCAGCGGAGGGTGCACTGTGCGGCAGCTAGGCAGGGACCCTGCAAAGGGTGATGGGCAGGAGGGCCTACAGAACAGACATGCCCCAGTCCCACAGAGAAGCCAGCAGCACCTTTTTTGTTTGTTTGTTTTGTTTTTTGTTTGAGATGGAGTCTTGCTCTGTTGCCCAGGCTAGAGTGCAGTGGCGCGATCTTGGCTCACCGCAACCTCTCGGGTTCAAGCGTTTCTCCTGCCTCAGCCTCCCGAGTAGCTGGGATTACAGAGGGGCCCCGGTGGCACCACCATGCTCTGCTAGTTTTTGTATTTGTAGTAGAGACGGGGTTTCACCATGTTGGCCAGGCTGGTCTCGGACTCCTGACCTCAAGTAACCTGCTCGCCTTGGCCTTCCAAAGTGCTGGCATTACAGGCATGAGCCACTGCACCCCAGGTCTAGCCTCACTTTCTCCTGGCCCAGCGGTCAAGTGGGGCTACAGCCTATCCGAGGAAGTTGGGAAGACCTGGGGAGTGGACACTTGTGGCCATGCTCTGCCAGAGCCACCCTGTGCACAAAAGCTCCTGGACTCTGCTGGCCAAAGTCGTTTTTGCCTACTCCCCGGGCAGATGCTCCTGCTGGCTCACAGGTCCATGAGGTGGGATGTGGTATAACCTGCAGCTATAGGATCCCAGAGGCCCATGGCAAGAGTAAGCTGTTCCTCAGTTCCCTCACACATCTCTTCCCCAGGAGCCATTCAGGACCAGGAACTAGCCTTGGCATTCGGATATTTCATGCAGGGTTCCCAGCGTCCTCACTCTTTCGCTGTGGTGTCAGTGCCACCTCCCCTTTCACTCTCGGTTTTCTCTCTGAAGATCTGCCCAGATAGGGTTGATTTACTCAATAATTTGGTCTTTTTTGGTGGCAGTGATGCTTTCTGGCTGCATGTAGTTGGACATATTGTCAGAAAATGCCTTTGGTTTTTAACTTGCTTCTGTATACATAAACAAGATATAATTATCTTAAATAGTCACTCTGTGTACAGCAGAAGCAAAATACATATTTTAGATACTATCATTAATTTGCCCCAATAATTAGTAATAATTCTCAAGACGACCATTATTCACTTCAGAAAGAAGTAGATATAGAAATAGTTTTGAGATGGTCAATGAGCTTTTAACAAATAATGTAACAGTGACTTAGACATAGTACAAGATTGTTTCTCCCTGTTAACTAGTAATCCTCACTGGAAACGCCCTAGAGATTTTATTTTAAAATATGTTACATTTTCAAATATACGTAAGATGTATAAGTCGATTATACTAACTCAGTATTATATTGTTATTGAAAAAGTTGCTTCTGTTAAACTCATGTTAAACATGTGCGAATAATATATTTAACATTCTGACTGCCTTTCACATGAACTTCTAAGAATATGGATCTTCAAACTATTGTATAATTCACTAAGGATAGCTATTTTCTCCTAAAATGATAAACTCTTCCACAATTTGACTTCTGAAAGCTCTTATGGTTATAACAGAGTGATTGCAATAGATAATAAACATAATTTTTTAAACTACAGTTCAGAATTAAAATCAATGATATAACTTTGTACATTTTTAACGAAGAGCCTGATAAATTAATTTGGGCTAGAAAATCACAGCTGAAGTATATAATATACAATGTTTTACATTTTGGCTCAATACTATTGGAAAGATTTTATGATTCTAATTATTGTAAATCTAAAACATCTGGTAAATTATCATTTTGTTCATTAGAAAACACTAGGAAGGATTATTGTTATACTAGCTTTTGGCATGTTTTAAAACAGTTACATTTTATATTCACGTTTCATACTCACTGGGACCATATGCTGTAATTATCCAAGTGAGGTCACCAAAAGGCGAAGAAAAGTAAAATTTCACAGCAAAATATTTCATTAGAACTTCTTGCACAATGGTTAGATTGTTAATAAGAGTTGGGAAAATCAACATCCATATATAACCTCACTTGCATTAGTTATTTCAACAATTTTTACAAATAGATAAATAGGCTTTTTCCTTACTAATAGAAGATATGAGGAAGAGAAAATATAAGAGAACAGAGGGCAAGTATCAAGAACAAGGTGGAAAACCTTTAAGGCACTCTATGTTGCCTCTAATGGAAATAAATGACTGTATGCAATTAAAGGATTATCTTCTAGGTACAAAAGGAAACACAATCAACATTTGGGAGAGCACAACTCCTTTGAAAGGTTGCCTTTTGAGATTTTAGTGATTTGTCTTAGAAATGCATCACAGAACTAAATATCTTTGCTTTTCCTACTCTCTAGTTTTCTCAGTTTATCCTAAATATTAGATATACCACAGAAGTCTGAAAGATTTTGGAGATAGGTAAAATGCTAGGGATCCTAATAAACAGTAAGCAATTTAGAAAAGTCATGTATGAGAAATAACAAAACACAGTTGTGTTAAAACTAATAAAACTATGCTTAATTATATTTTCTTTAAATAAATAACTCGAGGATTTCAAGTGCAAAACAGCTTTGCCACAGTATGGAGTTTTTAATGTATGAAACCAGGTTGCTTAATTTAAAAAATATTTTCACACACATTAGAATACCCATTGTATTTATTCTAATGTACTTTTTCCCTTATTTGGGCCATTTTAATAATACATATCTTGCAATGCAACTTGATTTTTACATTAAGAGAAAATATGTTTTGTTTTAGGTATTCAAATCATTTAATTTCTGACTCCGTTCCATTTCTTTCTGCCCTAATTTTTTTACTTCTGTTCATTCCTTATATTAGGCATTGTGGAGACAAAGTTGAATAAACATGGAAATTTTACAATACGTTTAAAATTCAGTAGATCAAAAATAAGATTTAAACATCTGTTGGAGATGATTATTCAACAAACTTCAAGGTAGATTTCATCAAAATTACGTAAATACAACAAAAGAAAGTGACATATATAAATGATATTAACACATCATGCTTTTTATTGTCTTTAAAATGTTTATACGAAGATAGCTCATCAAAAACTTTGCTCGTCTCTATCATGCTTTATCATAATAAGGTTAAAGGGTTCATCTGCAAAAAGTGATAATCAAAAAAGCTGTACAGTGGATGACTTCATTTTCTCTTTTTTATTTTTAATTTGTTTGTATATAGTATGTAATTATGTGTTGCATGAGATATTTTGATAAGCATGCAATGTGCAATAATCACATCAGGGCAAATGGGGTATCCACCCACTCAAGCATTTATCCTTTGTGTTACAAACAATTACAAACAATCAATTATGCACTTTTATATATATTTCTTTTTCTGAGATGAAGTCTCACTCTTGTCCCCCAGGCTGGAGTGTGATGGTGCGATCTCGGCTCACTGCAACCTCCGCCTCCCGGATTCAAGCAATTCTCTTGCCTCAGCTTCCTCAGTAGCTGGGATTAGGCGCCTGCCAGCAAGCCCAGCTAATTTTTGTATTTTTAGTAGAGATGGGGTTTCACCATGTTGGCCAGGCTGGTCTCAAACTCCTGACCTCAGGTGATCTGCTCACTTTGGCCTCCCAAAGTTCTGGGATTATAGGCATGAGCCACTGCACCTGGCCAATTCTTTTATACATATTTCAATGTACAATTAAATTGCATTTTACTATAGTCACCCTTTTGTGGTAGCAATGCTAGGTCTTATTCATTTTTTCTAGCTATATATTTGTACACATTAACCATATGAATTTCCCCCCCACTACCCTTTCCAGCCTCTGGTAACCACCTGTCTACTCTCTATCCCCATGAGTTCAATTGTTTTAATTTTTAGCTCCCACAAAAAAAGTGAGAACATATGAGGCTTTTCTTTCCGTGCCTGGCTTATTTCACTTAACATAATGACCTCCAGTTCCATCCATGTTGTTGCAAATGACAGGATCTCATTATTTTTATGAAGGAAGAGTACCCTATTTTGTATATGTACCACATTTTCTTTATCCATTCATCTCTTGATGGACACCTAGGTTGCTTCCAAATTTCGGCTATTGTGAATAATGCTGAAGTAAACATGGGAATACAGGTCTCTTCAATATACTGAAATGCTGGATCATATGGTCTCTATTTTTAGCTTTTTCTGGAACCTCTGAATTGTTCTCCATAGTGATAGTACTAATACGTTCCCACATTATCAACTCATCCTAATTAAAATGGGCTTTATCCAAAAGACAGGTAATGGCAACAGTGTACAAGGGTTCCCTTTTCTCCCTGTCCTCACCAGCATTTGTCATTGCCTGTCTTTTGGATAAAAACCATTTTAACTGGGATGAGTGGATATCTCATTGTAGTTTTGATGTTTTTAACTGATGATCAATGATTTTGTGCACCTTTTCATATGCCTGTCCCATTGGTATGTTTCTTTTGAGAAATGTCAGTTCAGATCTTTTGTCCATTTTTTTACAGCATTGTTACATTTTTTTTCCTCTTGAGTTGTTCTTTGAGCTTTTTGTATATTCTGGTTATTGGTCCCTTGAGAAAAGGGCAGTTTGCAAGTATTTTCTTTTATTCTGTGGGTTGTCACTTTGTTAATTGTTTCCTTTGCTGTGCAGAAGCATTTTAACTTAATAGAATCCCATTTTCCCAATGTTTTCTTTTAGTAATTCCACAGATTGAAGTCAGATATAAGTAGTTAATCCATTTTTATTTGATTTTGGTATATGGCAAGAGATAAGGGATCTAGTTTCTTTCTTCTGCATGTGGACATCCAGTTTTTCCGGCATCATTTATTTATCACACTACCTTTTCCCCAGTGTATGTCCTTGGCACCTTTGTCAGAAATAAAGAAAGACAGAAAGATTGGGAGGCTGAGGCAGGCGGATCACCTGAGGTTGGGAGCTCGAAACCACCCTGATCAACATGGAGAAACCCCATCTCTACTAAAAATACAAAATTAGCCGGCATGGAGGCGCATGCCTATAATCCCAGCTACTTGGGAGGCTGAGGCAGGAAAATTGTTTGAACCCAGGAGGCAGAGATTGTGGTGAGCCGAGATCTTGCCATTGCACTCCAGCCTGGGCAACAAGAGCAAAACTGTCTCAAAAAAACAAAAAAACAAAAAAACAAAACAAAAAAAACAAAGACAGAAAGAAAGGAATGAAGGAAAAGGAAAAGGAAAAGTAGTTCAACAAAACAACCAGAAAACAAATAACAAAATGTCAGGCGTAAGTCTCTATTAGTAATGACATTGAATGAAAATGGACTAAACTCTCCAATCAAAAGACAAAGAGTGGCTGACTGGATAACATAAACAAGACCCACTCATCTGTTGTCTACTGCCTACAAGACATTAATTTCACCTATAAAGACACATATAGACTGAGTACAAAAGATTGGAAGAAGATACTAGATGCCAATGGAAATGAAAAAAGAGCAAGAATAGCTACACCAATAGACAAAAACCCTGAGAAGAGACCAAGAAAGTCGGTATATAATGATAAAGGGGCAAGAGGATATCACAATTGTAAATATGCATGCAGCAAACCCTGGAACACACAGATATATAAAGCAAATTTTATTAGAACTAAAGAGAGAGATAGACTACAGTAAAATAATAGCTGGAAATTTCAACACCCCACTTTCAACATTGGGCAAAATTTCCAGAGAGAAAATCAATAAAGAAACATTGTAATTAATCGATCTTTCTTTTAGTGAAGGTGATTTTCTCAAGCAGTAAGACTTAATTTCTTGCTTTTTGTTTTTTTGTGTATCCATTGTATGCCTTTTGATTTGAGGTTACCATGAGGCTTCCAAATACTCTCTTATAATCTATTATTTTAAGCTGATAACAACACAGTTTGTAGGAACAAACAAGCAAGCAAAAGAAAACTAATAAAAACTCGACATCTCAACATCATCCACCTGCTTTTTAACTTCTTGTTGTTTCCATTCACATCTTTAATGTACAGCCTATGTCTTGAAAAGTTGCTGTAGTTATTATTTTTGATTGATTCAATGTTTACTCTTTCTACTTAAGAATAGTTTATCCACCACATTTACAGTATTATAATATTCTGCTTTTTTCTCTGCGCTTACTACTGCCAGTGAGTTTTGTACCTTCAGATGATTTCTTATTGATTTTGACATCCTTTTGTTCTGATAAAAGTATTCCCTTTAGCATTTCTTGTAGGACACGTCTTGTACTGATGAAATTCCTCAGCTTTTGTTTGCCTGGGAAAGTCTTTATTTCTCCTTCATTGTTGAGGAATATTTTCACCAGATATACTATTCTAGGGTAAAAGTTTTTTTTCTTTAGCACTTTAAATGTATCATGCCACTCTCTCCTGGACTGTAAGATATCCACTGAAATGTCTGCTGCCAGACATATTGGAGTTCATTGCATGTGATTTGTTTCTTTTCTCTTGCTGCTTTTTTACAACAATTTTTTTACCAGCAGTGTTTGAAGATTCTTGTTTCTTTTTTTTTTTTTTTGAGACGGAGTCTCACTCTGTCGCCCAGGCTGAAGTACAGTGGCATGATCTTGGCTCACTGCAACCTCTGCCTCCCGGGTTCAAGTGATTCTCCTGACTCAGCCTCCTAAGTTGCTGGGAGTACAGGCGCACACTACCACGCCAGCTAATTTTTGTATTTTTAGTAGAGTCGGGGTTTCACCATGTTGGTCAGGCTGGTCTCAAACACCTGACCTCGTGATCCACCCACCTTGGCCTCCCAAAGTACAGGGATCACAGGCATGAGCCACCACCCCTGGCTGAAGATTCTCATTTCTATACATCTTCATCACCTTTTTTATTATCTGACTATTTTGATTATAGCAGTCCTACTGGTTATAAAG